>NC_000001.11:50765956-50917471 GCF_000001405.40 Homo sapiens
TAGCGGGTGCCTGTAATCCCAGCTAGTCGGGAGGCTGAGGCAGAAGAATAGCTTGAACCCGGGAGGCGCAGGGTGCAGTGAGCCGAGATCGCGCCATTGCACTCCAGCCTGGGCGACAAGAACGAAACTCTGTCTCAAAAAAAAAAGTAAAATGAGACCTAGCCCATCTCAGAGTAGAAACAATAAAAAACTCAGACCTGTTACCCAGAAGCAACAAAACATGCAATAATATTACATCATTTGGATTTTTCTCAAGCACAATTATCAAAAGCAAATTTCTTCTTTGTTCTATTAACATGTTTTATAATATGAGAAATCATTCACTGCCTCCATTCATTTCTTTCTTTTAAACATTATAAGCCATTACCCCCTAGAATACTTTTTGTTTATAAACTATGAAAGTTATTGCTTTGAGCAAAATCAAATTAAGATTCTATATGGGTAGAGATAATTCAGACTCTTATGGCCAGAAAGGACCCATCCAAGAAGATGTTTAAAACCACTCTGGGGAAGTGCTGAAGATGGCCAACTAGCTGCAGCCAGGATGAACATCTGCTGCCACCAAGAGACTGGGACATTAGGAAGCCTGGGGCATTCTAAGCAGATCTTTGGAGGGAAGGCATTCAGAGTGGATGAAGGGAGGACAAAGATGCTGGACCAAAGGGGTAGGAAGCTGGGGATCCAGCACAGGGCTACCGTGCACAGGTATTCATTCTTGGCCCCCAACAACTCCAAAGGAAGGGAAACAAAGTCAGTTGACTAAACTCACCTTATACCACAATCAAACCCCCAAGGGCATCAAAGAAGATAAAAACAAACAAACAAGCAAGCAAGCAAAAAAAAAAAAAAAAAAAAACCACACATCCAAAAGACAGCAACTTCAAAGACTGAATGCTCAGCTCATACAGATGAGAAAGAACCAGTGTAAGAACTCTGCCAATTTAAAAAGCCACAGTGTCTTCTCACCTCCACACAACCACACTAGTTCCCCAGCAATAGGTCTTAACCAGGTTGAAATGACTAAAATGACAGAAACAGAATTCAGAATATGGATAAGAATGAAGATCATCAAGATTCAGGAGAAAGCTGAAACCCAATAAAGGATTCTAAGGAATACAATAAAATGATTTGGGAGATGAAAAATGAAATGGCCATTGTAAGAAAGAACCAAAGTGATCTGATAGAGCTGAGAAACTCACTTTAAGAATTTCAGAAGACAATCCAGTATTAACATCAGAATTAGCCAACTGGAGAAAAGAAACCCAAAGCTCAAACACTGGTTCCCCAAAATAACTCAGACTAAAATTAAAAAGACTCAAAAAAGAACAAACAAAACCTCTAAAAAATTTGGCATTACATTAAGAGACCACATCTACATCTCACTGGTGTCCCTGAAAAAGAGGGAGAGAAAGCAAGCAACGTGGAAAACATATTTTAGGATATAATTCGCGAAAATTTCCCCAGCCTCACTAGACATGCCAACATTCAAATATAAGAAATGCAGAGAATGCCTCTGAGATACTATATAAGACAACTATGCCCAAGACACATAGTCTTCAGATTCTTAAAGGTCGAAATAAAAGACAAAATAAAAGACAGCTGGAGAAAAGGGACAGGTAACCTACAAAGGGAACCCCACAGACTAACAGTGTACCTTTTGGCAGAAAACCTATAAGCCAGAAGAGATTGGGGGTTTATATTCAGCATTCTTAAGGAAAAGAAATTCTAATCAAGAGCTTCATATCCTGCCAGATTAAGCTTCATAAATGAATCCTTTTCAGATGAGCAAATGCTAGGAATTTGTCACCACGAGACCTGCCTTATAGACACTCCTTAAGGGTGTGCTAAATATGGAAAGGAAAGACCATTACTAGACACCACAAAAACTCACTTAAATACATAGGCCATTAGCCCTACAAACAATTACACAATCAAGTCTGCATAATAACCAGGTAACAATCCGATGACTGGATCAAATCCACACCTATCAATATAAACTTTGAATGTAAATGGGCTAAAAGCCCCCATTAAAAGGCACAGAGTGGCAAGTTAGATACAGAAGAAAGACCCAACTGTATGCTGCCAAAAAGAGAACCATCACATGTGCAATGACACCCACTGGCTAAAAGTAAAGGGACAGAGAAAAATCTACCAAGTCAACAGAAAACAGAACAAAACAGGGGTTGCTATTCTAACTTCAGACAAAACACACCTTAAACCAAAAAGATTAAAAAAAGATAAAGAAGGGCATTACATAATGCTAAAGGGTTCAATTCAACAAGAAGACCTAACTATCCTAAATATATGCACCAAACATAAAAGCACCCGGATTCATATAGCAAGTTCTTAGAGATCTACAAAGAGACTTAAGATAACCACACAATAATAGTAGACTTCAACACCCCACTGATAGAATTAGATCACTGAGGCAAAAGACTAACAAAGATAAAATCTGAACTCAATATTAGACCAAAAGAACCTGACAGATATCTACAGAACTCTACACCCAAAAACAACAAAATATATATTCTTCTCATCTGTACATGGTACATACTCTAAATTCCATCACATAATTGTCCATAAAACAATCCTTAGCAAATTAAAAAAAAATAAAAACAATAGCAATCACACTACTGAACCAGTGCAATAAAAATAGAAATTGATAGTAAGAAAATCACTCAAAAGCATACAATTTAATGGAAATTAAACAACCTATCCTGAATGACTATGGGGTAAATAATAAAATAAAGGCAGAATTAAAGCAATTCTTTGAAACTAATGAGATCAAAGATGCAATGTAACAGAAACTCTGGGACACAGCTTAAGCAGTGTTAAGAGAAAAGTTTATAACACTAAATGTCCACAGCAAAAAGTTAGAAAGACCTCAAATTAACAATCTAACATCACACATCACACCTAGAGGAACTAAAGAAACAAGAAGAAACCAATTACAAAGTTAGGAGAAGACAAGAAATAACCAAAATCAAAGCTGAACTGAAGGAAACTGAGACATAAAAAAATATACAAAAGACTGAGTCCAGGAATTAGTTCCTTGAAAGAATATGACTGATAGACTACTAAGTAGACTTAAAAAAAAAACAGGAGAGAAAGAGAGAGAGATAGCTCCAAATAAACACAGTCAAAAATGACAAAGGGGACATTACCACCAAACCCACAGAAATACAAAAAACCCTCAGAGACTACTATGAACACCTCTATGCACAAACTAGAAAACATAGAAGAAATGAATAAATTTCTGGAAACATACAACCTCCCAAGATTGGACCAGGAAGAAATTTAATCCCTGAACAGACCAATAGTAAAGTGAAATTGAATGAATAATAAAAAGCCTACCAACCAGACAATGCCCAGGACCAGATGAGCTCACAGTTGAGTTCTACCAGATGCATAGAGAGGAACTGGTATTGTTCCTACTAAAACCATTCCAAATGCTTGAGGAAGAGAGACTCCTCCCTAACTCATTTTATGAGGCCAGCATCATCCTGACACCAAAACCTGGCAGAGACACAACAAAAAATGAAAGCTTCAGGCCAGTATCAATGATGAACATGGATGCAAAAATCCTTAACAAAATACTAGCAAACCAAATCCGGCTGCACATCCAAAAGCTAATCCTTCATGATCAAGTGGACTTTATCCCTGGGATGCAAGGTTGGTTTAATATATACAAATCAATTAATGTGATTTACCACATAAACAGAACTATAAGCAAAAACCACATGATCATTTCAACAGATACAGAAAAGGCTTTCAATAAAATTCAACATGCTTCACGTTAAAAACCCTCAACAGGCTGGGTGTGGTGGCTCACGTCTATGATCCCAGCACTTTGGGAAGCCAAGGCAGGTGGATCACTTGGGGTCAGGAGTTTGAGACCAGCCTGGCCAATATGGTGAAACCCCATCTCTACAAAAAATACAAAAATTAGCTGCGCGTGGTGGCCCATGCCTATAGTCCCAGCTACTTGGGAGGCTAAGGCAAGAGAATCACTTGAACCCGGGAGGCGGACGTTGCAGTGAGCCGAGATCACGCCACTGCACTCCAGCCTGAGTAACAAAGTGAGACTCTGTATTAAAAAAACAAACAAAAAACCTTCAACAAACTAGGCCCTGAAGAAACATACTTCAAAATATTAAGAGCCATCTATGAAAAACCCACAGCCAACATCATACTGAATTGAGCAAAAGTTAGAAGCATTCCCCTTGAAACCAGAACAAGAAAAGGATGCCCTCTCTCACCACTCTATTCAACATATACAGCACTGGAAGTCCTAGCCAGAGCAATCAGGCAAGAGAAAGAAATAAAAGGCATCCAAATAGGAAGAGAGGAAGTCAAACTATCTCTGTTTGCAGATGATATGATAGTATACCTAGGAAACTCCACAATATCTGTCCAAAAGCTACTAGCTCTGATAAACAACTCCAGCAATGTTTCAGGATACAAAATCAATGTACGAAAATCAGTACCATTTCTACATACCTACAATGTCCAAGCTGAGAGTCAATTCAAGAACACAATCTCATTTACAGTAGCCACAAGGAAATGCAATACCTAGGAATACAGCTAACTAGGGAGGTGAAAGATCTCTACAATGAGAATTACAAAAGACTGCATGAAGATATTAGATATGACACAAAGAAATGAAAAAACATTTCATGCTCAATAGGAAGCATGAATATTATGAAAATGGCCATACTGCCCAGAGCAATTTACAGATTCAATGCTATTTCTACCAAACTACCAAGGACATTCTTCACACAATTAGAAAAGACTATTTTAAAATTCATATGGAACCAAAAAGGAGCCTGAATAGCCAAGATAATCCTAAGCAAAAAGAACCTAAGCAGAAAGCTGGAGGCACCACATTACCCAACTTCAAACTATACTACAAGGCTGCAGTAACCATAACAGCACGTTACTGGTATAAAAACAGACACACAGACTCATGGAATGGAGAGCCCAGAAATAATGCTGCACATCTACAACCATCTGATCTTCGACAAAGTTGACAAAAACAAATGGGGAAAGGCTCCCTATTCAATAAATGGTGTTGGGGTAGCTGGTTAGTCATATGCAGAAGACTGAAACTGGACCCCTTCCTTACAGCATATACAAAAATCAACTTAAGATGGATTAAAGACTCAAATGTAAAACCTAAAACTACAAAAACCCTAGAAGACAACCTAGAAGATACCATTCTGGACATAGGCCCTGGCAAAGATTTCATAACAAAGACATCAAAAGCAATTCCAATAAAAACAAAAATTGACAAATGAGACCCAATTAAACTAAAGAGCTTCTGCACAGCAAAAGAAACTATCAACAGAGTAATCACACAACCTACAGAATGGGAGAAAATATTTGCAACCTACAGAATGGGAGGAGATATTTGCATCCAATAAAGGTCTAATATCCAGAATCTATAAGAAACTTAAATTAATGAGCAAAAAACAAACAACCCCATTAAAAAGTAGGCAAAGGACACGATCAGATACTTTTTGAAAGAAGCCATATATTTGGCCAAAAAAGCATACACAAAATGCTTAGTATCACTAATTATCAGAGAAATGCAAGTCAAAACCACAATGAGATACCATGTTATACCAGTCAGAATGGCTATTATTAAAAACAAAAAATAATGGGCCCAGCACACTGGCTCACACCTGTAATCCCAGCACTTTGGGAGGCCGAGGTGGGCAGATCACCTGAGGTCAGGAGTTCAAGACCAGCCTGGCCAACATGGTGAAACCCCTTCTCTAGTAAAAATACAAAAATCAGCTGGGCGTGGTGGTGGGCGCCTGTAATCCCAGCTACTCAAGAGGCTGAGGCAGGGGAATTGCTTGAACCTGGGAGGCGGAGGTTGCAGTGAGCCAAGATCGTGCCATTGCACGCTAGCCTGGGTGATAAGAGTGAAACTCCGTCTCCAAAAAACAAACAAACAAACAAAATGCCAACTATGTTTAATTTTGAAATTTCTCTTCTAAATGCAAAAAAAATTGACAGAAGTAGAGCCCTTGGGAAAAAGCAGAGATTATGGATAAGTTGTAGGGAAATACAGAAAAAGATTACGTGTAGGTAAGTATAATAGTGAAAAATTGTAGATGTTGCTCAACTGCAAGAAACATTTTTTTCTCAAGTTAATCAGTGTCTTTTAATGTATAATACCATAAAAGTCCTTAGTAAAAACAATATTCTGAAAAATAAATAAATAAATAAATAATAGATGCTGGCAAGGTTGCTAAGAAAAGGGAATGCTTATACACTGTTGGTGGGAATGTAAATTAGTTCAGCCTTTGTGGAAAGCAGTTTGGCAATCTCTCAAAGAACTTAAGAAAGAATTACCGTCCTACCCCACAATCCCATTATTGGGTATATACACAAAGGAACATCAATCATCACACCATAAAAGACACATGTACTCATATGTTCATTGCAACAGTATTCACAATAGCTAAGACATGGAATTAACCTAAATACTCATCAATGGTAGACTGGATGAAGAAAATATCGTACATTTACACCATGGAATACACCACAGCCATAAAAAAAGAATGAGATCATGTCCTCTGCAGCAATATGGATGGAGCTGGAGGGCATTATTCTAAACGAACTAACACAGGAACAGAAAACCAAATATTGCATGTTTTCACTTACAAGTGGGAGCTAAACACTGAGCATACATGGACACAAAGAAAAGAACAACAGACACTGGGGACTACTTGAGAGTGGAGAGTGGGAGGAGGGTGAAGATCAAAAAAACTACCTATCAGGTACTATGCTTATTACCTGGGTGATGAAATAATCTGCACACCATACCCCAGTGACACACAATTTACCTATATAACAAACCTGCTCATGTACCCCTGAACCTAAAATAACTTTAAATAAAATAAATATCATTAGACACCCATTAACATCTAATTAATAAAATTTTTAAAATAAAAAACAAAAGCACTTTGGGATAAGGCTACTCAAGAACAAGAAATGATTTAATGGCAAAGACTACAAGACAATGCCCACTGCCTTTCCCTATGTACTATTCTGGTATCATTAATTGAAAGATGTAACTCCTGTATATCTTGCTACTTATAGACATAAGTTTACATTTAAAATGCTTTAACATAACACCTACAATTAAAAAAGGATTATAAATATGTGAGTATTTTGAGGTTCTGGACAAAGGATTCCAGGAAGCTCAGCTGGGGAAAATTGTTTGAGCCTAGGAGTTTGAGGCTTCAGTGGGGCATGACTGCATCACTGCATTCTAGCCTAGGTGACAGAGTGAGACTCTGTTTTTACTTTAAGTATGACATTTAAAAATGTGACATCAGATCCAGCCATCCCACTTCTGAGTCTGCAGCCAAAGTAATTAAAATGTGTTGAAGAGATGTCTGCACTTCCCTGTTCGTTGCAGGATTATTCACGATAGCCAAGAGATGGGAACAATCTATGTGCCCGTCAATAGATGAACAGATACAAAAATGTGGTATATACACAATGGCATACTATTCAGCCTTAAAAAAGAACAAAATTCTGTCATTTGCAACAACATGAATGAGTCTAGAGAACATTCTGCTAAGTGAAATAAGACAGGCACAGAAAGACAAATATCACACACATGCTCTCACTTACATATGGAATCTAAACATCTGAATCCACATATGAAGTAGAGGGTATAATGGTAGTTACCAGAGGCAAAGGCATACAGTGAGCTCCGTGGATAAAGAGAAAATATCAATCAGAGGGTCTCTTTGATCAGTTAGACAGAAGGAAAATATTCTGGTGATCTAATGCACAGTAAGGTGAATACAGTTAAGAAATAATGTATCACTCAAAATTGCTAAAAGGGTGGATTTTAAGTCTTACCACAAAGAAATGGTAAGTATATGAGATGACGGATACGTATTTACTCATTCTAAAATGTACACATGTATTGAAACATCATATTGTACCTCATAAACATACACACTTATTAAACATCAATTTAAAAATCTGAAGCTGAATTAAAGAATATTTCTAACGCATAAATAAACTATGCACATTGAGACCACAGTTTGAGATGCTACTTTATTCAGCTTTTAAAATGACCCAATAATAAATTATTTGGGGAGTACACAATTGATGGCACGGAGGCAACAGACATCAGTTTGCAGGTAGACTAAACAATACTACTAACACACAACATTTGCTGTCTTTCTTCCCCCAAAATACAAGCTATAATCAATTTCATTGTCATTTCATGCTGATAGCATCTTTCAAGACACACAAAATTGTCACTCTTTCCTTCTTTTCACATGTACTAATAACAGAAGAACATTTAACTAGTATTTATTACTCATAAAGCATGGCTGAGGCATGTGGGGGAGGGATAAGGCATTTGCCAAACACTATACAGCTAATAAGAGTCACAGAGTCGAGATCAGAATCTGAATTTATAGATTCAGGACAAAACCTGGTTTGAAACAACCTGAACTACTTTTTCAGACTGAAAATGCACCTGCTAAATGTTTTAAATCTTTCCATATTCAACCTGAGTTCTTAAAAACTAAAATAGTATCCAATATAGTAAAAGTAGCTTTAAGAAAGATCAAAAAGAGAAAAAATAAGATAAATGGTTCAAATAATAACAGACCTATTTTTCTGCTATATCTCAAAAACAAAATTAAAGCTATGCCTACTAGGCTCCAGTAAATTAGGTTTGTTAACAGCACTGATTTAACAAACTTTATTAAACAAATAGCTGCATGTTAGGTTAAATCCATTGCTAGATCTTAGAGATCTAACAATATACAATAATCCCTACCCTCAAAGAGATCACAATACTTCACATCAGACACCATTTTATAGGAGGACAAATGCTTTAAAATAATTCTTTAAATTTATTCAAGATAAGAAAACAGAATTCAGAAGGTTTTGGGTATTGAAATGAAACTGCAATAAGGACCCTAAAAACATTAACAACCCAGTGAAATTACCACTAGGTGTCACTGTGATACAAAGTTCTTAGCTGCCTTTGGGCTCGCTTTCAAACCTTGTTGCATCTTCCTGGTAATAACGTGGAAAAGGTGCATAATCTGATTGAGCATCTCTTTGCATTGTATTATTTATATGTATACAGCTACAGAAAAAATATTATTTATATAATTTCAGTAACACTGAAATGAGTTATATCTATAATAATTCTATTGCTGGTCACATAAACTTTAATGAGTGTACATTTTTAAAATTTCCTGTGATGGATGAATTAATATATACACATATATTCATATACTCATTTATTGAGCCATTTGTTTCCTCAACAAGCACTACTCTGTGCCAAACACTGTGCTAGAATAAAGAATCTAGAGAGGAATAAGACCTGCTCTCTAAGTGTGAGGAGTTAACATTCATAAGGAAAATCTGAAACACAAAGGGTAAGATGTGTTAAAATCCATGTTTAAAGCATATACAAAATTTTATGGGATCATAGCGGATGATTCAACTTAACTGTATGTCCAGAAAGGTTAGGAAAGGCTTCATAGAAGAGGAAATATTTACATGGGATCTTGGAAGCTGTGTAGGAGTTTTCTGGAAAGCTAAAGCAAGAAAAGGTTTATCAAACAGAATAGAGGAAATACAGAGCCACTGAAAGGCACATGAGGAGATGCGTGTTTTAGAAAAATCACCACAGGGCAACTATATAGAAAAGATGGACTAAAGGAAGAAAGAAACGAACATATGGAAATCAGGGGAATTATCTTAATTAATCAAAGAAATCCTTGAACTGTAACAAAGGGGGACGAAAAAAAAAGGAGAGATTCAGTCATAATGTGATAGAATTCACAAAACTTTATTGACTAAGTGCAGTGAAGTCAGAAAAAAATTCTATCAAGTCTAAGTATTATCCTTAAGTATGCCTTCCCTAGTTACACATACAAACATGCCAACAGGGAAAACAGAGAAAGTATATAACATGATTCTCTGCCTGCCATAATACTCATAAGGCAATAACTATAATCCAGAACAAATAAAACTGGAACAGCTAGAAGAAGCAGGAGCAGGTAGATATCATATAATAACAATATCTGATTTAAAATTCATTTTGAGTCAAACTGTGTTTATAGTATGTCCATAACTATGAAGAATATGACTGGAAATATTTTAAAGCTTTATCACAGAAGTATATGAAAGAACTTCCAGGGATCACTTTTCGTAAACTTTTGGCTTTATCATCCACTGTAAAAGCTAACTTATGCTCAAGTATGATAGAGTAGGAACAGCCAAGCTGTCATTCGGTTTGAAAACAAATACAATTAAGACAGCTACAGACACATTATAAATACAACTGGACTCAAAATGAATTTTAAACCAATATGTATCTACTCCTGCTTCTAGCTCTTCCAGTTTTATTTGTTCTGGATTATAGTTTTACCTTATTATGAATCATATGGCAGGCAGAGAATCATGTTATATGGTTTCTCTCTAATATATTTAAAGTGTAACATTAACATACATAATCCAGAGAAGCCAGCCATTTCTGATCACCACACTCGAAATAAGCAGAGGATTTTTTTTAGTTGAAAAAATACTTAATAGTCCATCAAAAAAAAGAACAAGGTTTTTCTGAAGTGATACACTATTCACTCACATGAAACAGACACATGCAACAAGATGGCAGTTAAAATTTATTTAATATATAATTGCATTCCAGTTTTCTTAAAACAAAAAAAAAAATCTGAGGTAATTTTAAGATTTAAAAGAAAAAGTGTGATGTGGCACTGAATTTGCCCCCTTGGATAATAGAAATATTTGTCATTAAACTAAGAAAGTAAAGGCTAAATCATATCCCTTTCAGTGGTTCCCAACTAATAAACCCGAGATGCCTTAGCAATACTACTAAAAATCCATACAAACAAGAAGCATCATCAATTCTGACCAACTGATATTGTAAAGATAAATAACATTACTTTTAAAACGTCAACAGAGGAAGTTTGGTGATTTAAAAAAAAATATACAGAATCAGCCAGGGTAAGTAGCTCATACCTCTAATCCTAGCACTTTGGGAGACTGAGGTGGGGGGATTGCTTGAGCCCAAGAGTTCAAGACCAGTCTGGGCACATAGTGAGACCCCATCTACAAAAATGATAATAATAAAAAATAAAATAAATAATATAGGCTGTCAAGTTGGCTCACACCTGTAATCCCAGTCCTTTAGGAGGCCAAGGCAGGAGAATCACATGAGGCCAGGAGTTCAAGAACAGCCTGGGCAACAAAATGAGACCCCATTTCTTCAAAAAGTGAAAAAAAAAAAAATTTGCCAAACATGGTGGCGTGCGCCTGTAGTCCCAGCACTCGGGAAGCTGAGGTGGGTGGGAGGATCACTTGAGCCTAGGAGTTCAAGCTCAACAGTGAGCTATGGTCATATCACTGCATTCCAACCTGGGTGACACAGCAAGACTCTGTCACTTAAGAGAAAAAAATCATTTCAAGTCACATGAATTCAAAAATGCCATAGTGAATTTGTAACTGCATTTCATTATTATATATTTCCTAAGTCAACACTATAAAAATATTTTTTCAAGGGGACCTTAAACTGGAAAAAAATGAAAAAACACAGATACGGTAAACTATACCAGAGGTATCCTCAATGCAGCTAAGAAAATTTGATAAGTTTGGACAATCAATCTGAAATAAGAATGCAGATGGCTACCAAGTTAGAAAAAAGATTTCCAGCCTGTTATGAGGGCTAAATTCAAAATGAACTTTGGAACCTGAATTCATTTTAAGAAAAAAAAAAAAAAAGGAAATTCAGAAAGGATCAGGAATATGACTAAAATTGAAAAGATTAACCAGATTAAGTGATGGCAAGGATAGGGAGTAACTGGAACCCTGTTCTACTGGTGGAAGTAAATTGGTTCGACCATTTTATAAAAATGTTTTGCTACACCTGCTAACTCTAAACAAACATATATCTTCACGCTATGATTCAGCAGCTCCACTTGAAGGTCAAAAGAAGAATGTTTATGTATGCCAAAAACATGTACAAGAATGTTCACAGCAGCTTGGTAACGCTAGAAAGAACCCAAATATCTATCACCAGTAGAATGGGTAATTTATGGTATTTTCATATAATAGAATTCTACATAGCAATTAGAATGAATGAATTATTGAATCTCAAAGACATAATATTGAGTGAAAGAAGTTAAACACAGTATACAATGTATGATTTCAATTATACGAAGGTCAAAATACACAAATGCAATCCAAGGTGACAAAGGTCAAAACAGTGGTTTCAGAGGGGAGATTAAATTGCTAGTAGGAGGAATGAGAGAGGCTTCTAACGTGCAATAAATATTCTCTATCTGGATCTGGGTGGTGGTGGTTCCAAGGGTATAAATTTAATATTTACATATAATTGACTCTTGAATAATGGGGGTGGGGAGGTTAGGGTACCAATCCTTCCACACAGTCAAAAATCTAGGTATAGCTTTTGACTCTCCAAAAACTTACTAATAGCCTACTGTTGACCAGAAACCTTACTGATAACATAAACCACTGATTAACAAATCTTTGGTACATTATGTGCATTATATATACATTTCCCACAATAAACTAGAGAAAAGAAAATGTTATTAAGAAATCCAAAATATATTTACTATTCATTAAGTGAAAGTGGATCATCTTCCTCACTGTCTTCATGTTGAACAAACTGAAGAGAAGGAGGAAGGGGAGGGGTTGGTCTTGCTATCTCAGGGCTGGCAGAGACAGTAGAAAATTTGCTTGTGCCCAGGAGTTCAAGGCCACAGTAAACTAAGAGTGTGCCACTGCACTTCAGCCTGAGTGACAGAGCAAGACCATCCCTTAAAAAAACAAAACACACAGACACACACACACACACACACACAAATAGAGCTTGCTGCATCGATTAACTTCCTTTCATGAAAAGTTTTGCTGTAACATATGATGCTGTTTGATAGTATTTTACCCACACTAGAATTTCTTTTACAGTTGGAGTCAATTCTCTCAAACCCTGCCACTGTTTTATCAATTAAGTTTATGTCACATTCTAAATCCTTTTTTTGTCATTTCAACCATGTTTATGCATAGCGTCTTCATCAGCAATAGATTACATCTCAAGAAACCATTTTGTTTGCTCTTCCATCCAAGTTTTATGAGACTGCAGCAATTCAGTCACGTCTTCAGGCTCCTCTTCTAATTCTTTTGCTATTTCTACCAGATCTGCAGTTACTTCCTCCACTAAAGTCCTGAACTCCTCAAAGTCATCCATGAAGGTTGAAATCAGCTTCTTCCAAACTCCTATTAATGTTGATATCTTGACCTCCTCCCATGAATCATGAGTGTTCTTCATGGTATCTTAGAATGGTGAGTCCTTTCCAGATGGTTTTCAATGTACTTTGCCAAAATCCATCAGAAGAATCACTACATATGGCAGCTACAGCCTTATGAAATGTATTTCTTGAATAACAAGACTTGAAATTTGAAATTACTCCATGATCCATGGGCTGCAGAACTGATACTGTGTTAGCAGGCGGGAAGATACTATCAATCTCCCTGTATATATTGATATCTAAATATATATTTAGATATGAGATAAATATAGAAAATTATATATAAAATACTCTATAAAATATGTAAATGAATACAAAATTTTAAAAAATATAATTTGTGACACCAATAACAAAAAAACGTTTGGGGGTGGAGGGAAGTAAAAGAGTATTTGTATGTGACTGAAGTTAGATTGTTACCAGCTTAAAATAGATTCATATAACTATAAGATGTCTTATGGAAACCATAGATAATACATTTTTTAAAAATTAGAAAAGAGCTGGGTGCAGTGGTGCACACCTGTCATCCCAGCTACTCAGGAGGCTAAGGCAGAAGGATCACTTGAACCAGGGAATTCAAGACCAGCCTGGGCCGCTTAGTGAGAGCCTGTCTCTTAAAAAAAGAAAAAGAAAAAGAAAAAAAAGGAATCAAAGCATATCACTACAAGCACACATGCACAGACAGACAGACACACACACACACACACACACACACACACAGAGGAAGTAAAAGAGGAAGTGTAGGGGGATCTACAAGACAGAAAACATATAAGAAAATGTTGACAGTAAGTCCTTTCCTATCAGTAATTGCTTTAAATTTAAATGGATTAAACTTCCCAACCAAAAGACATAAAGTAGGTGAATGGATATAAAAACAAGACCCAATTATATGCTGATTACAATAGACTCACTTTAGATTTATGGACATGCAAAGTCTGAAAATGAAAAGATACAAAAAGATACCCCAATGTATAGCTGGGGAATTCATGTGGAGGTCAGAGTGGAAGCAGGTGTGAGAGGGTCCAGCAGAAGGAAATATAGCTGCCAAAGGGTTTTAGTCCATCACCAAGTTTGACCTGGCCTTAGCCATACCAGAAAGTGTGGTGAACTCTGCCTCATATAATGTGGATGCTGGGTACAGAGCTATCATCTTTGACCGATCCCATGGAGCACACAACACCGGTAGAGACAGGGACTCACTTTCTCATCCCCTGGGTACGGAAACCAATGATCTTTGACTTTCACTCTTGACCACACAACATGCCAATCATCACTGGTAGCAAAAATTTACAGAATGTCAGTGTAACTGCACATCCTCTTCCAGCCTGTCTCTAGCCAGCTTCCTCACATCTTCATCAGTATCAGAGAGGACTATGATGAGCATGTGCTGCCACCTATCATCACAGAAATCCTCAAGTCAGTGGTGACTTGCTCTGATGCTGGAGAACAAATCACCCCGAGGGAGCTGGTCTCCACACAGGTGAGTGATGGACTTACGGAGTGAGCAGCCACCTTTGGGTTTATCCTGGATAACGTGTCCTTGATGCATCTTACCTTCAGGAGGAGTCACAGAAGTGGTGGAAGCCAAACACATGGCTCAGCAGGAAGCAGACAGGGCCAGAATTGTGGTGGAAAAGGCTGAGCAGCAGGAACAGGAGGTCATCATCTCTGCCAAGGGTGACTCCAAGGCAGCTTAGCTGATTGCCAACTCACTGGCCACTGTGGGTGACAGCCTGATTGAACTGTGCAAGATGGAAGTCACAGAGGACATTGAGTACCAGCTCTCACACTCTCAGGACATCATTTACCTGCTGCCAGGGCAGTCAATACTCCTCCGGGTGCCCCGGTGAGGGTCTACCCTGCCTGCACCTCTTTGGCCAACTAGGCCAGAGCCTCAGTGATTCTTACCACCACCTTCTTTCTGCCTCCACCCCAGAAATCACTGTGAAATTTCATGATTGGCTTAAAGTGAAGTAAATAAAAGTAAAATCACTTCAAAAAGAAAAAAAAAAAGATACTCCATGGGAATGGTAATAAAAAGAAAGTAGGGGGTGTCATATTTATATCAAACGAAATAGAGTTTAAGTAAAAAACTGTCACAGGAGATAAAGAAAGACATTATATAATGATAAAATGGTCAATTCACCAGGAAGATATCCATAAATATATATGCATCCAATACTGAAGTACCCAAATATATGAAGCAAACACTGACAAAACTGAAGGGAAAAACAGACACCAACATACTTATAGTGGGAGATTTCAACACCCCATTTTCAATAATGAATAGAAATATCCAGACCAGATGATCAATATGGAAACTGAGGACTTGAACAATGCTATCAACCAAACAGATCTAACAGACATATACTGAACATCCATTCTATCACAGCAGAATACACACTCTTCTCAAGTGCAGAGAATATTCTATGATATAGCACATATTACTCCATAAAAAAGTCTTAAACTTAAGATGACTGAAATCATATTAAGTGTCCTTCGCAACCAAAATAAAATGAAGCAAAAACTAAACAATAACAGAAGGAAAACTGGAAAAGTCACAGATACAGTCATGCTCCTCATAACAATGTTTCCATCAACAATGACCACATATATTATACCAAGGTGGTCCTGAGCTGAATAACTCCTATCATCTAGTGACATCTTAGCCACTGTAACATTGTAGCACAATACATTATTCATAAATTTTTGGTGATGCTGGTATAAACAAACCTACTGCACTGCCAGTAATATAAAAGTATAGCACATAGAATCGTATATAGTACATAATACTTGATAATGATAATACATATGTTACTGGTTTATGTATTCACTATACTATACTTTTTATTGTTATTTTAAAGTATACACTTTCTTTTTGTTTTTTTTAAGTTAACGGTAAAACAGGCTCAGGCTAGTCCTTCAGGAAGTATTCTAAAGGTATCATTACCCATAGCAGATGACACCTCTATGTCTGTTACTGCCTCTGAAAACCTTCCAGTAGGACAAGATGTGGAAGTGGAAAACAGTGATATTGATGATCCTGACCCTGTGGTAGGCCTAGGTAATGTGTGTGTTCGTGTCTTAGTTTTTAACAGAAAAGTTTTAAAAGTTAAAAAATAATAATTAAAAAATTTCAAAACAAAAAAGCTTACAGAAAAAGGATATAAAGAAAAAAACATTTGTACAACTGTACAATGTGTGTTCTCAGCAAGGTGTTATAAAAATGTCAAAAAATTTTTTATTTTTATTTTTTAAAGTAGAGACAAGGTCTCGTTATGTTACCCAGGCTGGTCTCAAATTCCTGAGCTCCAGCAATCCTCCCACCTAGGCCTCCCAAAATGCTGGGATTACTGGCATGAGCTACTGTGCCCATCCTCAAAAAGTTTTAAAAGTTTTAAAATTTATAAAGTAGAAAAGTTACAGTAAGCTAAGGTTAATTCTTATTAAAGAAATATATTTTTTAATAAATTTAGGGTAGCCTAGGAGTACAGTGCTTATAAAGTCTGCATCAATGTACAGTAATGTCCTAAGTCTTCACATTCACTCACTGCTCACTCATTGAGAGCAACTTCCAGTACTGCACACTCCATTCATAGTAAGCATCCCATTAAGGTGTTACTTTTTATACCATATTTTAATATACAGAAATAATAGGAAAAAAATCAACAATACTGAGTGTTTTTTTTAAAGATCAACCAAGTTCATCAACCTTTATCTAGAGTAAGAAAAAAACAGAAAAATTAAATTAAAAATAATTATAACAGACTACTATGAAAAATCATATGCCAACAAATTAGATAACATAGAAGAAATGGATAAATTCCTAGAAACATACAACCTACCAAGACTGAATCGTGAAGAAACAGAAAATCTGAACAGACATACAACTAGTCTGTTATAGAGAGTGAATCAGTAATCAAAAATCTCCCAACAAAGAAACATGCAGATGGTAACATTAGGGCATGTTACCGAACATTTAAAGAATTACTGCCAAGCCTTCTCACACTCTTCCGAAAAACTGAAGGAGGGAATACTTCCTAACTTCTTTCACGAGGCCAGCATTACATCAATACCAAAGCCAAAGAAGCTATCAGACGAAAAGAAAACTACAGTCCAATATCCCTGATAAATACAGATGCAAAGATCCTCAACAAAATATTAGCGAAACTAAATTCAACAGCACATTGAAAGTGAAACTAAATTCAACAGCACATTAAAAGGATTACACACCATGGCAAAGTGAGATTTATCCCTGGGATGAAAGGATTATTTAACATAAAAAAATCGGCCAGGCGCGGTGGTTCACGCCTGTAATCCCAGCACTCTGGGAGGCTGAGGTGGGCGGATCACTTGAGATCAGGAGTTTGAGAACAGCCTGGCCAACATGACGAAACCCCATCTCTACTAAAAATACAAAAATTAGCCAGGCATGGTGGCTGTGTGCCTGTAATCACAGCTACTGAGGGGGCCGAGGCATGAGAATCACTTGAACCTAGGAGGCGGAGGTTGCAGTGAACCAAGATCACACCACTGCACTCCAGCCTGGGTGACAGAGTGAGACTCCATCTCAAAAACAACAACAACAACATATGAAAATCAATCAATGTGATACACCACATTAAAAGCAAGAAGGATAAATGTCACACAATCATCTCAATAAACAAAAAGCTTTTGACAGAAGTCAACATATTTTCATAATACTGAACAAACTAGAAATAAAAGGAAATAACCTCTACATAATAAATGCCATATATGAAAGTCCCACAGCTAACATCATATTCAAGGGTTAAGAACTAAAAGGTTTTCTTCTAACATCAGGAACAAGCTAGGATACCTTCTCACCACTTCTATTCAACGTAGTACTGGAAAGCCTAGATAGAACAATTAAGCAAGAAAAACAAAAGACATCCAAATTGGAAAGGAAGAAATACAACTATCTTTGTTTACAGACAACATGATATTATATGTAGAAAACACTAAGGATTCTACCAAAGAAAAAAAAAACTTAGAACTAATAAATAATACAAAATTCATCAATCTTTTATAAGATGCAAAATCAACACATAAAAATCAGCTGCATTTCTATATACTAACACTGAACAATCTGAAAAGAAAATTAAGAAAACAGTCCCATTTACAATAGCTTCAAAAAGAATAAAATGCTTATGAATAAACTTATCCAGAGACAAAAGACTTGTCCACTAAAAACTACAAAACATTGCTGAAAGAAATTAAAGACGACACTGGAAAAGCTTCCCATGGTCATGGACTGAAAAATTTAACATTGTTAAAATGTCCATACTATCCAAAGTGATCTGCAGATTCAATGCAATCTCTATCAAAAGCCCAATGGTATTTTTTGCAGAAATAAGGAAATAATCCTAAATATCATAAGTAACCACAAGGAACTCCAAACACAATTGTGAGAAAGAAGAACAAAGCTGGAGGCCTCCTACTTCCTAACTCCAAAACATATTACAAAGCTAGAGTAATTAGATCAGTTTGTTAGTGGCATAAAGACAGACACACCAACTAATAGAACAAAACTGAAATCCCAAAAATAAACCCACACGTATACAGTCAAATGATCTTTGACTAGAGTGCCAAGACCCCACAATGTGGAAAGGATAGTTTCTTCAAAAAATGGTACTGGGAAAACTGGATATCCACATGCAAAAGAACTTGGAACCTCATAACCTCATAACATACACAAACATCATCTCATGGTATTGTGTGAATTAAAGACATAAACATAAGACTTGAAACTATACGAGCAAAGACCTTGCTACTGTCCTCCAGCCTGGGTGACAGAGCAAGACCCTATCTCAAAAAAAAAAAAAAAAAAAAAAAGACTTGAAACTATAAAACTTGTAGAAGAAAGCAGAAGAGAGGAAATGCTTTATAACACTGATCTTGGCAATGGTTTTTTGGAAATGACTCCAAAAGCAGAGGCAATGAAAGAAAAAATAGACAAGTGGGACTTTATCAAATTAAAAAGCTTCTGCACAGAAAAGTAAACAACAGAGTAAAAAGGCAACCTACAGAATGAGAGGAAACATGTGTGAACCATATATCTAATAAGGGGTTAAAATACAAAATACAGAAAAACTTCTATAACTCAACAATAAAATATCAAATAACCCATTTAAAAAAATGGACAAAGGACTTGAATAGACATTTCTCCAAAAAAGACATACAAATGGCCAACAGGTATATGAAAAGATACTCAACATCACTAATCAGACAAATATAAATCAAACCCACAATGAGCTACCACTTCACATCTTTTAGGATGGCTACTATACAAAAAAAAAAGGAAAGAAAAGAAAAGGGAAAGAAAAGAGAAAAGAAAAACAGAAAATAATAAGTGTTAACAAAGTTGGGGTTGGAATGTAAAATGGTGTAGCTGCTATAGGAAACAGTATGGAAGTTCCTCAAAAAATTATAAATTAAACTACCATCTAATCCAGCAATCCCACTTTTGAACATACTGCCAACAGAATTGAAAACAGGATTTCTATGAAATATCCACACTCCCATGGCTGGGCACAGTGACTCATGCCTATAATCCCAACACTTTGGGAGTCTGAGGCAGGAGGATCACTTGAGCCCAAGAGTTCAAGACCAGCCTGGGAAAGAAAGTAAGTGAGACTCCTTCTCTACAAAGAAAAAAAAAAAATTAGCCAGTCATGGTGGCACACGCCTATAGTCCTGCTACTCAGGAGGCCAAGGCAGGGGGACTGCTTGAGCCCAGAGTTTGAGGCTACAGTGAGCCGCGATCACGCCACTGCACTCCAGCCTGGGTGACAGTGTGAGACCCTGTCTCAAAAAAAAAAAAAAATCACATTCTCATGTTCATTGCAGCGTTATTCACAACAGCCAAAAGGTATAAACAACCTAAATGTCCATTTATGATGTTAATGACTAAAAAAAATGTGATATATACACACAATGGAATATTATTCAGTTTTTAAGAAGAAGAAAATCCTGCTATATGCTACAACATATATAAGCATTGAGGACATTATGCTAAGTGAAATAAGCCATCACAGCGGGCAAATACTGCATTATTCCACTTCTATGAGGTATTTATAGTCAAACTTACAGAAACAGAAGATAGAATGGCAGTTGCCAGGAGTTTGAGGGAGGGGAAAATGGAAAGTTGCTATCCAATGGGTACAGAGTTTCAGTTATGTAAGATGAAAAAGTGCATAAACAATCTTGTGCTGTACACTTAGAAATATATTGACAGGCTAAATCTCATATTATGTGTTTTTTACCAAAATTTTTTTAAATAAAAAACAATCTACAGGAGAATATTTGGGGGCATGCAAATGGGTACAGGGTGAAGGGGTTTATCTAGAAGAATAATCTACATAGAAGAAGAAACAAGTATAAAGGCCCAGACCTATTTGGTAAACTGAAATAAGTCCATTATGGCATAGGCATAGTGAACTAGGAGAGTGGTGATAGATGAAACTAGAAATGCAGGTAGGGGCTTGATCAAACAGGGACTTATAGGCCATGTTAAAGATTTGAATTATATCCTAAAATCAATGGAAAGCTTTTGAATGGCTTTAAGAAAAGGAATAACATAATCTGAGTAGTGTTTGGGAATGAACTGTTAAGAGTTTAACAGCTTTGCTTTCCAAGACTCAATTAATGAAATAAAATTCTACAAGGATCTCCCCTAAAAGGAAAACAGGGAAATTTCCAGAAACATCTAGAATTCAGATTTAAGGTAAACCACATTAAGAGAAAATTAATATGTGGTTCTACAATGAAAATGGATCAGATAATCTGAATCAAATGTAAGTTCAACATAGTTAAACTATAGTAACTTGGTAAAGTCTGTCCAGAAATGGCAGGCATATACTTTCACCTCCTTTTGAAAAACAGCATTTTTTCAACTGGCAGAGAGAAAAGTGATGGAAACATGTCTCATGTCTGATTTCTCATTAAACATAGTGTGATGGTTTGAATGTATCCCCACCCAAATTCAGGTATTGTCTATGTGGTAGTATTAAGACGCAGGTCCTTTAAAAGGTGATTAGGCAATGAGAGCTTTGTTAATGGGATTAGATGCCCTTATAAAAAGAGTTTGATGAAGGGAGTCTGTCCCTTTTGCCCTTCTGGTTTCTGTCATGTGAGGACACAATGTTCCCCACTTAGGCGGATACAGCATCAACGTGCCATATTGTAAACAGTGAGCAGCCCTCACCAGACATCAAACCTTCTAAGCCTTAATCTTAGACTTCTTAGCCTCCAGAAATGTGAGAAAATAAATTTCTGTTCCTTATAAATTACCCAGTCTCAGGTATTGTTATAGCAGCACAAAAAGGATCAAGATATATCCTATGAAAAATGAGTAAGTCTCAGTTGTAAAGTGTGATATGCAATGTACTTGATTAGGGTATTTTTTTAAAGCTCTTAGATGTTTGATTTGCATCAGCCCTAAAACAGCATTGTATACCATTCTACTTGCATGGAACAAAAAAAATTATTCTCAAACTTACCTCAATCTCAACACAGTATTTAAAAATAAAGCATAATAATCAGTATTGGAAAGTTACCAGTTTCAACTTGCTTTTTTTCCCTTCTTGCACTGGTAGTCAACTAGAAATAAAAAAAATATAACCTGAATGTTTACCTAATTATTTATTTGTGAAGGCTTTATGGCAGGAAAAACCTTACCAACAGTACAGGTGTCTTCAAGTACCACATCAACATTTCTGTCTCTGTATTCAACCCTGAAGTCCAGCATCCGAGGTTGCCTTTCTACAATCTGCCTGGATGGCATTACAGGTCGAAACGCTGAAGAAGAAGAGGAAGTAGGAGCTGAAGCTGGATGACTTGCTGGATTAAATGCAGGTCCTGGTATGGTCTCACCTCCATATTCACTAAAATGTTGACATAAAAGAAGGATTATTGTCAACTAAATCATTACAGAATACTACTAGGGACCCTCTCCATACTTGGCTTGTGTTGTTCTTCCTATCAAGTAAGTTTACCTACATGTGTGTCAAGGCCAGACTTGAGTTCTACTTCCTCCATAAAATCTTTCCCATTGACTGAAGGCCACATTACTCTCCTTCCCATCCTTGCCTTTCTATGTTTATTAGCAGTATCATATCATTTAGCATTTAATCAGATTTTTACCTTGTGTTGTTATAATATTGGTAAAACATCATTTTTAACTCGGTAAATTAAGAACAGTGTCTTCTTCACTCACTCTCATTTACTCACTGGATCATTATTTGACTCATTAACTCTGCTTTCCACGGATTATTTTGAAACTTTACAGTCCTTAAACCTCAATTCTCCCCAATTCTCCCTATCTCACATCTCAGTGTTAAAAGGTATCTTTTTCCATTTTGCCAAGAAAACAAAAGCCATCAAGAGAAATTTCCCTTATCTTCTTAACATCAAATCCACAAACAAGCCCACATAAGCACTCTCTCTTTCTCACTTCCTATAAAATAGAGGGGATATCATTTTTTTAATCTGTTCAAAATCTAAAACAATTCTTTTTGTTTGTTTGTTTGAGATGGGGTCTCTCTCTGTTATCCAGGCTGGACAGCAGTGGCACAATCTTGGCTCATTGCAGCCTCAAACTCCTGGACTCCAGCAATCAATCCACCCCAGCCTCCCAAGTAGCTGGGACTACACATGCATGCCACCAAGCCCCAGCTCATTTTTGTATTTTTTTGTAGAAACGGAGTCTTGTTAATGTTGCCCGGGCTAGTCTTCAACTCGTGGCCTCAAGTGATCCTCTCACTTCTGACTCCCAAAGTGCTGGGATTACAGGCATGAGCCACTGTACCCAGGCTAAAATAATCTCCTCATTAGCTCTACACTAAGTATTATCCCTTTTATATCCAGTATCTTTGACATCTCTTTCTCTTCTGGATTCTTTTGAGTAACACTTAAAAATGTTCAAATCTCTCCCTTCTTAAAAAGTAAAAATGAAATCCTGGCTCTACCCACTTAATAGCTGTCCCGTTTGTAAAATGGGAACAATAATTATATTTGCACAACATCTGGTACTTAGTAAGATCCCGGACCCCCAACTCAGTATGTCCACAGCTTAGTTCATTAGTATTTCCTCAAGTCTGACCCTCCTCCATTACTCCTAGTATCAACTCAATCCAGAAACCTGTGGTGTTATCCTTGATCCCTTCTTCTCTTTCATCCCACATACCTAATCAGTCCTTTAAATTATATCTCCTAAGTATGTTTTGTATAAGTCATCCACCTTTACCCTCTGATGCTGCCACTCTAGTCCAAGCCACAATTACCTCCTGTATGAACTAATGCAATTGCCTCCTAACTAATCCCTTTATATGTACTCCTGCAACACTGAATTCCATTCCATCATGCCCCTAGAGTGAAATTAAAGACACAAATGTCTTCATATCATTCTCTTTCTCAACCCTACTCTCCTTTACTCTTCAGATACATACTTAAAGTGGCGTATGAGGCCCTGTATGATCTGAATCCTACCTAGCTTTCCATCTTCTTGTGCTACACTATCTCCAGCCCTCTATGCTAACAGGCGCATGGTCTTTCATTTCTTCTCTCACCTTAATCATTCCCGTTTCACAGAGGAACACAGGCTATTCCCTCTAAGAATATCCTTTCCTCCATTACCCATCCACTTCTATCTTTCTTCTAACAAATTATACTCAACCTTTCATATCTCAGATTGAATGTTTTTCAACTCAGGGCACTAGGTCTAATTCCACACTACTAACTATAAAGTTAGTAGTATGATTAATGATTTGACATCTATGTCTCCACTGGAATATAAGTACCACAAGAATAAAGCTCTTATTTGTATGTTTTGTTTTTTGTTTGTTTTTTTGAGACACTGTTGCCTGGGCTGGAGTGCAGTGGGATGATCTTGGCTCACTGCAGCCTCCACCTCCTGGGTTCAAGTGATTCTCCTACCTCAGCCTCCTGAGTAGCTGGGACTACAGGTGTGCGCCACCACGCCTGGCTAATTTTTGTATTTTTAGTAGACACGGGCTTTCACTGTATTGGCCAGGCTGGGCTCGAACTCCTGACCTCATGATCCGCCTGCCTCGGCCTCCCAAAGTGCAGGGATTACAGGCGTGAGCCACCGCACCCGGCTTTATTTGTGTTTTTAATGGCTGTATCCTCTGCCCTGAGCTTAAGATTTTATACATAGGAGGCACTCAAATATTTGCCAAACTAACGAGTAGAGGAATAATTATTTTAAAATTTGACTTTTCTCTGACTTAATTTATCTTATGTATTGCCACTTCTTTTTTTTTTTAACTCTCTGAGAGAAGGTGGTGGGGAGAGAGAGAACCATAGGAGTGTTTCAGTTGTAACATCAGTATTGTATGTATCTTCCACGACCACTAGAACTCAAGACCAGCTCTAAAACATCTTTCCTCTCAACCTGAATTTAAGAACAATGTTCAATTGTTCATACAATTAAGCAGAAAAATATTTATATTTATATTTATTTTATATTTAATTTCCTTCATACTATTGCTTTGAACAGTGTTCATCAAACTATAGATTACATAGTCGACTTGGTGAGTTGTGATCAGTCTTTTAAAGATTAGAATAGAAATTATCAGTATGTGTCACTTAACAGGACCAACTATTGTTCCATAAAACTTTTTATTCTGTTACATAGATGTATATGTGTGTTTGGGACTCCAAGTATTTCTCATTGTAAATCATACTCCAAAAAGTTCAAAAACAGTTAGTTTTTCAATCAACAGAGCTCAGATACTCCAGTAATCACTGATCCAAGACAAAAATCTACCCTTTCTCCTAGTTGTTAAATTCAAAGAAAGTAATCTTGTACAAAAAAACATGGGAACCAAGAAAATGTCCAAAGGCAGGAAAGAATGCCACAGCTGAAATCCAAAGTGAGCTCTTAAATATCTATGAACAGAATCTGTGCGATGACATTTCACATCTAAAGCTTGTCATAACTTCTCAGAACTGAAGAAAAACCTAAGAAAAAGCTAGTCACTGACTTACTGTTTTTTGACTTCAAATCCACCTTTCTATATAGTCTACTCTGTGATGCTGGGGCCAGTATTCTGCAAAACTGTATTTTCTTCTGCTAGATGGTTTCCTGTTAGATTCTACCAAGAGGAGACACTATCTAGAGATTAGTAGTTAAAGAGGGGAGGAGATTAGTAGAGATTAGTAAAGAGGGGAGGAGAGACTTCTTTTTTCCTGCTTGCATTCATTTCCATCAGTATCACCCTGTAGGTCTTCTGCTCTTTTCAGCATTCTTATAACCAGCTTCTTGATATTCCCTTAGACATGAGCAGCAGCTGGACAGTGTACATTCACAGAGGTCTGATCCCCAGCTTCATGAGTCTCCTCTGCGCTTCATGATTCTGTTAACCCCTCTGTTCCCTAAACCTAACAGTGGTAGCTTCCTCTGGCATTTATCATATCCATGTTACCACTTTTTGCTCTTTCAGTCTTCTATACCTATGTAACCAATCCTACCTTAAATTTCCTCTGCTGAAATATCTAGCATGTTTCATTTTCCTGATTGGATCCTGATACAGTGAAGAGTTCCCAGGAAACATACTTTCAAGGACAAGATTCAAGAATTGGCTTGATTATGTGTCCTTGACCTTCAATTCACTGCTAGCTCCTTGTCAATAATAAATGGGATACTAGTGATCCATTCCATGCATTGGCATAATGATTTTTGCATTATCACCCATAGCTAATTACGATGATATGCCTATTGAAACAAGTGTCTAAGACAACCATATGACTGTCTGACTTGACTATTTTGATGGTAATAATGACACCAAGGACTCGAGGATGGCTGCTTCTGACTCGGAGACTTAAAAAAGAAAATGATACAGAGTTTGTAAGTTTTTAACTTTCAGCTCAGGTCATGACAAGATAGCTACAAAATTTTAAAAATAGCCTTTTTAAAAGTTTCTTACTTGTAACCATAGGTACAACTCTGCCAAGAATTGGGTCCAAAATTTAATTTTGCAGATTGTAGAATTATGGTGAAAGTTGAATAAACATACTTTCTAAGTTTCCTTTGTTTTGGAAGGAGTGAGGCCCTAAGATATGGAATGAGGATACCTGGGTGAACAGCTCCTTCTCCCATGACTGAGAAGGCTAGCCTCCACTTCTGTGAAAGCTCTTAGCTTAAACTCTTAATAGTTTACTATTGGCTAAATGAAAACTCTCAAAAGAGTCCACATTTCATGAGGATGAGATGCCTGAACCTTCCTAGCATAATGCAGAAGAAATATAGATGCTTAAAGAAACAGGAATGCTGAAGTAGATTTACCATGTATAACCTGAATATATACATACCATCCTATACATCATCCATGAGGTCCTGGAGGATACTGCATTAAAGCATTTTAAAATACATTAGTAAGGGAATCTGTATTTGAAAAACTCTGTGGTGACTGTTTTCTGTGAGTTGGGAATGACATGGGGAGATGACACGATTGAGAAAGACTCCTGAACAAGCTAATCAGATTCCAGAATGGCAGAGGTCAAATGGCAAAATTTGACAGAGAAAAGGTAAGAACAATCATGTTAATGCACAGCATGGACAGAAAGTGGCAATCAGAAGGTTGTGATGTACAAGACCTGCAGAGACCTTTAGAAGTACTTAACTGAGCATGGGTTTTTTTGTTTGTTTTTGTTTGTTTTCTTTTTTTTTATGGCGGAGTCTCGAACTGAGCATGGTATTTTTAAGGAACAAAATTAAAGGTCAGTCTACTAAAATACTACTTGATCTATAAACAGTAGAAACCCCAGACTTGGTAGCCTAAATCCTGACTTCAGTGACCACTGTGGAGAACCACAGTCACTTCCGGTTTCCAAACACAAGTTGGTTCACAGACATAAAGCCCCTGGATTAAATGAGGCATGGTCCCCTAAAACACAACAGTGCCACAGGTACTTATTGTAAATTTTCCTCTAAGATTTCCATTAAGACACTTGCAGCTGTTTACTAGAGTATCTGTGTGCCAATAAAAAGAAAATATCCAGATTTTTAGGAGATTACTAGATGCTAACTCTAAAATGATGCTAATTACTGGGGAATTTACAAAAGTGAAAAATTAGAATTGGAAGTGAAGTTTTGGCCCAAATCAACTCACAGTAAATTTGATCAGTCAGTCAGTCTATCCTGCAGTTATTTCCCTAGGCCCTGGAGGTATAATAGAAAAAAACACACTCGGTAACTGGTAGATATTCCATATTGCTTTCCTGATCCATGGAGTTAGGACTGTAACGTAAGAAGGGACCACTGGAAACAAATGATCTTGCATACGTGTTTTATTTTCTATACTAATTTGTAAGCACTGGGACGTGCATTTTGCTTTCACACAGCAGGGTAGACTAATACCTTCATTGTCTTCCTAAAGATTACATCAACTCTCCCGCTCTTTGTCATAATAATAGTCTATAGAGATCTTGATTAACTTGACATTCCAAAGAACGATACTACACTGATGACAACATAGATTGGTCCTGAATTGCATAAGCAGCAAGTATAGGTTAAGTCTCCCTAATCCATAAGTCTGAAATCTGAAATGTTCCAAAATCTGAAACTTTTTGAGCACTGACATTAACACTCAAAGGAAATGTTTACTGGAACATTTTGGATATCAGATTTTTAGATTAGGAATGCTCAACCAACCAGTACGTATAATGCAAATATTCTCAAATCTGAAAAAAACTGAAATGTGAAATACTTCTGGTCCTATGCACTTCAAATAAGGAAAACTAAACCTATACTTTGATACTTTGGTAGGACGCATGCATGTTAGGGATTAGCAGACACACACCACAAAAATACAAGGGCTGCCACCTTGGTAAAGTTTCTAGAATGCAGTGGTTGAAAGCACATGAAGGTGAAAGCTGTACTTTGTATTTCCCAACAATAAATAAGAAATAACTAAGTTAACTGAGGAAAAAAAAATTTGGACTGGGAAGAGAAAAAATGATTATGTAAAATATGCTGGCACCAGCCAAAATTACACTGCTGTAGTACTACGACCACAATCAATGATAACCCTGAAAGACAGCAGTGAAAGAAAAGCCCCCCACTGGGGAGAACTTAATGTTGTACTACGTTCACCACTTCATCTGGAAGGAGAGATAGCCTGAGGTATAAATCTACATTGAATCATAGGCAATAGATGGTGGGTTGGCCAGCTGTTCAGGTCCTGAAAAGAATAAAATTGGAAAACTGGGTGACAAGAAAGTCTAGAGAAGAGATATGAAAACAGATCCTTTAGAATGCACACAGAATATAAACATATTTGGTTTTGTTTGTTTGTTTGGAGACAGAGTTTCACTCTTGTTGCCCAGGCTGGAGTGAAATGGTGCAATCTTGCCTCACTGCAACCTCTGCCTCCCAGGTTCAAGCGATTCTCCTGCCTCAGCCACCCAAGTAGCTGGGATTACAGGTGCCCACCACCTCACCCAGCTATTTTTTTTTTTTTTTTTTTGTATTTTGAGTAGAGACAGGGTTTCACTATGTTGGCCAGGCTGGTCTTGAACTCCTGACCTCAGGCGATCCACCCGCCTTGGCCTCCCAAAGTGCTGGGATTACAGGCGTGAGCCACCGTACCTGGCTAAATATATTTGTTTCTTAAGTGAATATTCTCTAAAGGCTAAGCAATTTAAAAAAAGGATCTTAATAACATAGATAAGAAGACATTGTTCAGTCAGCTTTTTTTCCCTTGCTACTGAGGCTGCTTGATGCATTAATGTACAATGTGGCCATGTCAACAGAGATGGAGGTTAAGCATGGACACCACAACATGGACTGCCCCTCACCAAGGCTGCATCTAGCTAGAGAAACTATGGAGTGCCTAAACTGCAAATGACACAGACTAATATTGAGTCCCCAATAAGGTGCCATTTCCCAGGGACCTGGTAATAAAATATTTCCATCATGGAGGGGGCAGTGATCTATCTTCTCTGAAAAAGACACTTTTCTAAATAGGAACTTGACTTGCCTGACAGCAATGCATCTGTCAGGACCACCATTCATGGACTTTGCGAATACCATATTGATGGCTTCCCACACAACCTTGGTTCTAACTAAGGAACTTGTTTCACAGCAAAAGAAGTGCAGCACTGGGATCATCGTGTATGCCATTACCTAGGAGCAGCTAGCTTGGCAGAACAACAGAATGACTTACTAAAGATTCAGTTATGACACTGGTTAGGAGACAACCTCAAAGCTTGGGGGTCCTCCTTAAAGTATGTGGTATAAATGCTTTATATCAGTGTCCAAAACACCACACTATTTTTCATACTGCCAGAAAACACATGTATGGGAATTAAGTGTTGACAGTGATTCCTCTTACATGCCTAACAGCTTACTAAACTTTTGCCTCCTACAACTTTGGGTGCTGATGGTTCAGAAATCATGGTTCCCAAAGATGTAACATTTCCACAACACTTCCATTGAATTGGAACTTGAGAATGTTGCTTGGCCATTTTGTACTCCTCATGGCACTGAATTACCACCTAGGGAAGGAGTACCGGATAGAGTGACTGGTCCTGATTACCAAGAAAAAAATTGGGCTGCTGCTACACTATGGACTATGACTGGAGCCCAGGAGATTTTCTGGGGCATGTCTAGTAAGAATGGAAAATTACAACTAATCAAAAAGCAGGTAAACTGAGGATTCTGACTCTTCAAAAATGAAGGTGAAAGATGCTTCACCAGGTAAAAAAACAACAACAACAAAAAAAAACAAAAACAAAAAAAAACCCTGACCATTTGAGGTGCTGGCTGAAAACAGGGAATACAGAATAAATAGTGAAAGAAGAAACTCACAGTATCAACTATGGCCTTATGACCAGTAACAGAAACAAAAACTTTGGCAGCAAACACACAAACACACACACACACACCCCTATCTTCTTGCAGTTTGCACACTGATCCTATCAACATCACCCTAGCAGTGACATATCACCCCAACACTGGCACTCATTTTGTTTTAGCATCAACCACTGATGTTAGCTTCTAGCTTTTTTTTTACGGCACCTTTTCCATAAGTCTCTCCACATCCTGCCAAAGCTACCATTATCAGCTGAACAGGACTTCCTTCTCATATGTCTGGTGCCAAGTTCCTAGGGCTCTTCCGCTGAGCTACAAATAAAGTTCTGTTAACCTCAACCTCCATCAGCCTCTTTCCTTTGTTCCTCTATCACTTTCCTTTGTGCCCATTGGTGGTCAGCAGGGGGCTTTCCCTGGTAGATGTGTTCTAGCTGCTGCTTCTTGGCCTGGAATGGGAATCATGACCTCTACATCCCTACCCTTCTCACTGAAGCTATGAGTCTGCTCTTTCCCTGGGCTCCTTTCCTCGTCAAGCAGAAGGAACCACCCATACCTGGACTTGGTGGTCCAGCTGCCTCCTGCAGTCACTCTATCTAGGTTGTCTCAGTATCCCTTTTCTGATCTTTCAACCTTCTCCACATCTGTGTAACTGACTCCCTATATAAAATTCCCTCTGGTAAAATTTCTTGGGTAGACCAGGTGAGGTGGCTCACACCTGTAATCCCAACACTTTGGGAGGCCGAGGCAGGAGGATCACTTGTGCTCAGGAGTTCAAGACTAACCTGAGCAACATGGCTGGGGCGAAACTCCATCTCTACAAAAAATAAAAAAATTAGCCGGGCTTGGTGGCACATGCCTGTAGTCCCAGCTACTCAGGAGGCTGATGTGGGAGGATCAATTGAGTCAGGGAGGTAGAGGTTGCAGTGAGCTGAGATCATGCCACTGCACTTCAGCCTGGGTGACAGAGTGAGACCTCATCTCAAAAAAAGGCAATCCAAAAAAATGAGAGGAAGAGAGAGATCTTACCAGTCAATGAAGGATCCCATCAGTTTTCACTAACATTTAATGAGACCCAAAGAATACAAAAGCATCCAAAATTATTGAATCAAAAAAGAGTAAATGTATTTTTAACACTTCCCAGCTGTGAAAACCACCATCTTATAATCTGACCTTGCTATTCTTTTCTATTTAATCATCTAACCATGTAATCATTATAGATTTACTAATCTATAAATACCTTTTTTAAAAAAAGATATTGATTGAATGCCAGGTGTAGTGGCTCATGCCTGTAATCCTAGCACTTTGTGAGGCCATGGTGGGAGGATGGCTTGAACCCAGTAGTCTAGAACTCCTGGGCAACATCATGAGACCCCATCTCTACAAAGAATACAAAAATTAGCTAGGTGTGGTGGCAAGCGCCTACAGTCCCAGCTACTCAGGGGGCTGAGGTGGGAGGATCACTTCAGTCCAGGAAGTCGAGGCTGCAGGAGGCTGTGATTGTGCCTGGGCTACAGAGCAAGAGCCTGTCTCCAAAAAAACAAACAACAACAAAAAAAGATACTAATGGGAAACTGGGCAAGGTGTCACGTGCCTGTAGACCCAGTTACTCAGGAGGCTGAGTCAGAAAGATTGCTTGAGCTCAGGAGGAGTTCAAGTCCAGCCTAAGCAGCATAGCAAGACCTTAAAAATAAATAAATATAAAAATAACACCGATTTGGAAGCTCTATGTAGAAATCTATTTTAGTTCTAAAACTTCAACCAAATAAGTGTTTTTATCCTTACTCAACTTTCCTCTACAAACAACTCAGGCTCTTGGAAGGCAATGAACAGAAAGAAAACTAAACAGGAACTCTGCACTTGTTTATTATTTCAATTCTTTAAAGTCCATGCCATGGCAAAATTTTTAGGCACCTCCTTAAAAAAAAAAAAAAACTCCGCATTTATTTTAGAGATAAACTTGTGAATCAAATCAGATTTTTTAAATGGAAATTAGACAAAGCAATACATAGAAACTAACTGGCTATAATGGCTATTTTTTAAGTACAAAACCTGGGCATTTACATATTCTGAAAGCCTAATGGTCAAGGTTTGAAAATAAACATCTTCTCTAGGTGTTCTCAATGAATTAAACAATGGACAAATGAACAAATTGTACACCTGTCTGGGTAATAAAACAAATATGAGTTAATAAATACCATCCACTTAGTGAGTGGCTAAAATTATGCTATTAATTTATAAAGTTTACTTTTAGAAAACATAGCATCAGCTCTCCAGTTATACAAGTAATTCACTAACATTTCTTCCTAAAAATATCTCCAAAAACAATTTTTAAAGAGGCTCTGGACAATATGTTAAATAAATAATATACTGGACCATGTAAATACACAGACTCAGTGTCTGTTTATGACTGAATGAATAGTTTACATTTATGACTGCATAAGTTACACATAGTATGCTGTGTTAGCAATATACTGTCTCATGAAATAAGCCTTGGAGAAAGAGTCAGAAGACTTGCTTATATTCCTGACTCCATCAACATCAGGCTGTATCATCTGGGCCAAGTCACTTTATGACTTATCCTATCTACCTGTAAAATGAGGAAGAATAATATCTGCCTTTAATAGCTTACGACTAAAATAATAACTATAAAAAACCAAGCTGTGGAAGACAGACATTATGTACATGTATTGGATTTCACCTTCTTTACCCAAAATAAAAATCTTTTTCTGTTCGTGTTTTTTTTAAGATGGAGTCTCACTCTGTCACCTAGGCTGGAGTGCAGTGGTGCAATCTTGGCTCACTGCAACCTTGGCCTCCCAGGTTCAAGTTGTATTTTTAGTAGAGACAGGGTTTTACCATGTTGGCCAGGCTGGTCTTGAACTCCTGACCGCGAGTGATCTGCCAGCCTCGGCCTCCCAAAGTGCTGGAATTATAGGCGTGAGCTACCACGCCCAGCTCTCAAAGGAAAAATCTTAAAAGTTTGGAAATACCTCACTGACTGATCTTGAAGAAGACAGAGTAATAGAGAGGATAGAGCATGGCTTTTAAAATAAGACAATCTAGACTTCACTACCTGCTTCTATGCTTGTGAACTTGGGCAAGTCTATGTAAACTCTCTAACTTTGAATTTCCTCATATGTAAAATGTAAACATTTACCTCTTACAGGTTGTAGTGAGTATTAAATGAAGAAAAATATGTCAATTGCCCAGCACACTGCCTTAAGCATTCAAAAAAAAGTTTCTTTCCCTTGGAGTTTATGGTTACATTAAAAATCATATACCCTCTTGGATTCACACAAAAACCTGATTTCAAGAAAAGCTATAAGGCACACACTGGCTCTTCTTTCTCTTAAAAAAAAAAAGAAACTTCTTTAGATTGCAGATAATTAGTACAGTTTTTTGTTTTGAATAATCTCTGGTCAAAGGAATTTAGTATCAACACATGTATCAGTGAGGTGGGTATTTATTTCCTACCAAAAGTTCATTATCTCATGAGAATATTGCTTTATATAGTAATTTATTTAAACTATAGTATTTGATACCTCCTTTCTTTGTTAAGGGATGGACTAACAATTTAACAGTCAGATGTATACACAGACTGCATATATTCGACTTTATTATAAAAACCAAACATACAAAACAAAGATCCTTTTAACTGCCTGCATATACCATTTCCAGCATCGTGCCTTCTACTTTCAGTGTTCAGCTTATAAGAAAGTACACAAAGAGCCCTCTTTTGTTTTCCTCTGGTCAGTAGACATACAAGAGGAATTTTCAGTTATGTTAAATCCACAATGATTTCAAAGCTAAAGAACAAGGTTAGGAAGGAAATAGTTGAAGAATATTACTAGATACAACTGATTTTCTCATGTAGACATATGTTTCATTCCTTCAAAAAAAGCAAACAAAACCAACAAAATCCTACTCTGATCACAGTTCAACCCCAAATATTATAGTAACTTTATGAGAAATCAGTTTAATACTGAATTTCTAGTCATAAAATATATTAAATAAAAAGTATAATCTGTGACAGGAAAGATGGAATGTTTCCAGGGGAGAAGAAGTTTCTACAGTTCACCTATGGCAAATGCTATTAATTGGATGATATATCCAATATGTACTCAGAATCCAGTAGCTGAACCCACAGATTTTGCATAGCAAAAATTTTGGCACAAAAAGTGGCAATAACATTTACTCAAAAATAAAACTGGAGTGATATTTAGCAGTGTGAAACTTTCTAAACTAAGAAAAAAATAGCCATAAAGGAAGTTCATCTGGTTTGCTTTCTAGACAAGGGCTTCGATAGAATTGAATGCTCTGGAACAAACAACAACAAACTAAAGATTAAACAAACAGAAGTTGGTAGAAACTCTAGAAATCTGCCACATTTACTCTGGATGAAAATCTTTCTGACAGTTTAGAAGAGAGGAACGGGGGTATAGGTCTATTTTATCATTGCTTTCATCTAAAAACCATCAACCATTAAAGGTGGTACAGGTATCAAACAAATTTTGCTTCCATCCTAAATATATGGTTTCTTATCAAGAACAGCATGTCTTGCAGTTCATGGTGAACTTCCTGATGTTTCTGCAAGAGTACTTTTCTTGCTCTCCAAAACGACCTCATTCCTAATCTGCTGTTTCTGTTCGCCTCATCCGCACTTACCAGATCATGCTTCAGTGACTTAGAAATCCCAGCCACCAAAATTCAAGCCAATGTTTGAATTGAGAGGAAAGGGGGGAAAATCAAGTAATTAAACTACACTTGGAAGGGAGAATGGTTTTACCTCCTAAGACTTTATAAAGTGTTCTTTAATTCAGAACCAGAGTCTCCAATTTTAAGGAGACAAAAGTTATGAATTTATTTTTAACTCAAGCAATTACATTGCAACTATTATAATTCTCTTGGCCACATCTTCCAGTTTTACCTTCTGGCCATAACACAAAACCTCTAAAACCATTCCACTTGTTAACACTGGATACTTCAAGTAAAATAGTTCAGTACTCTGAAGAGTTGCATTATTAAGAACTGCCTCAAATTGTTGCAAATTATCATATACTTGATTTAGAACCCAAAAGGGAAGGAGAAAAAGTCTGTAGTAAGCCTGGAGATAAAGCCTGTATAGTTAAGTTTGATAACCATATTCTGGGGTTAGTAAACCAATAGCCAGTGCTAATAGTTTAAAAAATTCAGTTCCTTTCATCTTATAAATCAAAGGATAAGCTTGAAAAGCTTTCTTAAAAATTAAAACCACCTTAAAAGATGGTGTTACCAAATATGCAATAATTTTATACAGTTAAAAGTTGGAGACTTTGGGGAATTAATATAACACATAGAAATATCTGAAAGAACAATGTTAATGAACTTATATACCCCAAATCAATGCTCTATTAAAAAATAAAACAAAAAAATTAACAGCTAGCTCTGTTCTTTGTTCTGCTAAGTCATCTTAACTGGTAAGCACTTTATAACATACCTTTGTAGAATGCCATTTTCCTGTGGTATTACACCATTGATAGCTGCCTGCAAACAAGAAACAGAGAAGGCCATTTAAAGAAACAGATAAATGCCCAAGTGTGGTGGAGAACACTTTAAAAGGAAATAAGTATATTTTTAAAAATGTATTTAAACATAATACTAATTTTTTTAGTGATGCAAAATGTTGTCTATTAAATGTTTCTATATTTCTCAGTTATAAAATTGTATTTTAGAAAATTTAAAAACATGCATTTGACATGTAATATCCCCAAACCTTGAGTCATAAAGTCTAGTTCCACAGTTCTGATTCAGGCAAAACACTCACAGAACCCAAAGTTTAAGGATGTCAAAACAGGAAAAATCAGTAACTTCATCTTATAAACATTATTTCCTTTGTCAAACTCAGAAGAGCAAGATGTAAAATCACAAATGAATGTATTATTTCATGTTATGATTACTATTCTTTTTTTTTTTTGAGATGGAGTTTCACTCTTGTTGCCCAGGCTGGAGTGCAATGGTGCAATCTCAACTCACCACAACCTCCGCCTCCCAGGTTCAAGCAATTCTCCTGCCTCAGCCTCCTGAATAGCTAGGATTACAGGCATGTGCCACTACGCCCAGCTAACTATGTATTTTTAGTAGAGACAGGGTTTCTCCATGTTGGTCAGGCGGGTCTCGAACTCCCAACCTCAGGTGATCCACCCGCCTCGGCCTCCCAAAGTGCTGGGATTACAGGCATGAGCCACCGCGCCCGGCCATTATATTCCTAATGAAAAGAACATTGAGAAGAAAATAATATAGAGGCAAAAGTCATTCAATAAACCTAACACCATGACTATTAACAGGTAACAAAAGGAGGTAGCATTAGAGGAGAGGTTTCCTTATATAAAACATCCCTAAAATTAATCTCTGAGCTAACAAGTTACCAAGTAGTCAGAACATAGCACAGGTATGACAGGACATGTATGTTTTTGAAGGCTATTAAGCAAGCAGGCTGTCGAATCCTGGAATGTAGACAGCTTACTGCAGGGTAACAGAGAATATTCTCAGGAAAACAAAACAAAAACAAACAAACAACAACATAAGCCCAACTTTTCCAACTCTGTCTTTATACCATAACAACTTCTCCTTCCCTACCCTTCCGTATCCACATCAAAATGAATAACCCACAAAAACAAAAAACACCTACCAATTCAATGTTTTATCAGCTGCCTGGAAATCAACTGCCAAAAGGAGTTTGGGTATTTTGTGAAATACTAACTTAAGTATTTGCCACAGTTTTGTCAAATTCACACCATCGTACTGTTGAATGGAAATAAATAGAGTGTAGGGTGTTTGCTATGAATTTTGAGAGCTGTAATGTTCCAGTGGAAAAATAAAACAAATCCATAGATTAACATAGACAATAGATACCACAGAACCCTGACGACTCTGGAGGCTTGTAAATCCTTTGAGTAAAGCAAATGCTAAAATCAGTTTTCAAAGACACAAATTCAGTGGAAGTATTTCTGCCCAGTATCAAGTTAACTATCCTCTTTTGGTCAACAGCATTGGTTCCATGTACATGTATCTCCTTTACTAAGTAACAGTAAATGGTTAAGAGAATGCTCTGTGGTGCTGGAAAAGAAACAAAATACCAGAGCTTAGAAAGATTTGGTTCAAATCTTTCAAAAAACATTTTCACTGAGGAATGCCAAAGTATAATGGGAAGAATACTAAGGACTCAGAAAGTCTAAAGTCTGAAACCAGGCTCTCCCATTTATTAATTTTGTAACCTTAGTATATTCACTGAACTTATCTGAGCCTCAGTTTCCTTATCTGTGTAATACGTAATTGTATAATGAGCTAAACATTACATACTCAGCCACAAAAGTCCTACCTTTTTGTTTCTCAAAGGCCTGTCTGGCATAGTGTCTGCACAATAAAGGCACTCAATAATTATTTATTAAAGGAATTAATAATAGAGGAATACAAAGAAAAGTCACCTATTCAAGACTTAAAGCAGGCTCAGAAACACCTGGATAAAATAATGCCTCACCTGAGGCTGAAGAATGAGTGAAAAGTAGCAAGATGGGGAGGGGATTCTATACAGAAGGAACAGTGATACAAATCCACTTTTCAACCCTTTCCTTTCCCAAAACCTTAGATTATTAAATAGTTAATTTATCTTGGAGAAGTTAGCAAGTGACCTCAATCTTATGTACAGCAAACTCTGTACATAAATAAATAAAATGTAATCCAGAATAAAGGTACAATAAAAGTATAATTTGGTAAAGGAATAGAGAATAGGGAAACAGATTTTTGACTGTGATGATTAAGGAAAACTTTAGGGAAGAGGGAACATTTGATCTATGCTTCAAACAATGGGAAGATACAGAAGCAAAGGAAAATTCCAGATTCCAACATGTTCAATTTTGAACATGTTAACTTTCAGGTCACAGGAGAATATCAATTGTTCATATAATAAATGTGTATTAATTGCCAACTATGTACCAAGCACTATGCTAGACAATTAAGACATAGTGATGAACATAAGACAGCTTGCCTTCTACGTAGGACCAAGTATATTCAACAATTAGTTTTACTATGAAAAATTCAGCTAATACCAAAATGGAGATGTCCAAAAAGTAACTGAAAAATCACAGCTACGTTCAAGAAAGCAACATCTGCTTAAAGGCAAATAAACGAAGCCCTAGAAATATTTTAATTCACTCCCTCACTCAGCTATCTTCTTTGTTGAAGAAAAAGGAGATGAAGATAAAATCTGGAGTAATTCATTAAAAACAAAACAAATAAAAATAAAAATGTAAAGGACAGACAGGAGGAAAAAGACTGGGAAAGTGTTACAGAGGAGGCAAAGAAGAAACTATAAGGAGCTATTACACAAAAGCTAGAAAATCTGAAAATACACTAAAATTATGAGGCCTAAGGTTATTAGACATAGTTTAAAACAGTTTAACAATAACTAAATTATAAAAGCTAAAAAGATACATGGGAAACTAAGAATAATTGACTCTCTTAAAACATTTGTGTGAAAAGCATAAAGACAGAAACTGTAAGAAGAACAGCTGCAGTAAGTTTTTGTTTGCTTTTTTTCCCTCCATAAGAATATTGATTTCTTGAGTTTATAGAATCCACAGGAAAGAGAGACAAAAAAAGCCACAAGAAACAGGGATAAAATTGAAAGTTTGGTTAAATACAACACTCTTACCAATTGCCTATTCATTGCCAAGCACTACGCACTACTTTGTGGATAGCCCAGTACCTGATCTAGGGCTCAGGAGAGGGGCTCAGATGGAGGGGATACTTTTAGAAAAGAGATCAATAAGATCTGGACTGTAGACTAAAAATTATACTGAGTTTATTATAAGAACTATATCACTTGCTAAATACTAACTATCTCATTGCTTAATATTATTTTTGCTAGGAAGATATTATATCTCTCACTCTATAATAGGAAAATGATAGACTGATTAAATATTTGGTCAAAATAATAGAGAACAGAATCAGGACAATATCTCCATTTCTGAGACTGACTCAAACAACTATGGTGGATCATTATCATACTGTAATGTATTTTAAGAAGAACATCTTGCCTTGACCTAGTTTATACTCATTTGAAACTCCATTTTGGTATAACTATTACTGCCTTCATGCTAATTATGTTCATATTTTTAATCCAATTAATGTACCTCAATCAAAATCCAGCCCCTAAATTCTGTTTAGCAAAACTGACAACGAAAACAATACCCTCTAAAATGCCATCTTCCATAGCACACTAAAAGGCATGTAAGGTATGCATAAAATACAGTGGAAGCCAATGTCAGAGATGACCAAAGGAGCCTTAACAAAAGGGGAAAATCATGACATTCATGGTGGGCTTTAGACCTTTTGGGGGAAGGAAATGGCAAAAATTTCTATAAATCTCATTGTAACATCACATATGAAAGGAAACCAAGTCACTGGTAAATTGGTAGATTACAAAACAGTGGCATGTAATATAAATCATACCCTACATGGAATGCTAGGATATCCTTTCTCTAATATACAGAAAATCTTAACTTTAGTCCTTTTTTGTAAACAAAAGACCCTTAAAGAAAATGGCAATGACAAATTTTTAAGAGGAATGAAGATGAGACAGGGATGTAGAGACAGCATCCAAAAGCCTCAAAAATAACTTATGAGTAAAGGAGTTGTGGTAACAATAATGGCAGCTAACACTGTACCATTTTTATTAAATGTGAGGCATTTTCAAAGTACATTACATATATCAATTCATTTAACTCTCACATTACCTCAATTTTACAGAGAAGGACACCAAGAAAACAAAGAAGAAAACTGTCACAACAATGGGTAGGCAAATGATGAAAAATAAAGAATTGCTAAATTGGACATTAAAATTCATAGTGTTTGCCCTTTGAAAGATACCATTAAGAAAATAAAAAGACAAGCTGCAGACTAGGAAAAAGTATTTATAATACATGTATCTGAGATAGATTTATATTAAAAATTTATAAAAATTCTGGAGACTTAACAAGACAAGTCAATAAGAAAATGGGGGAAAGTCAATAAGAAAATGGGGGAGACAGACACTTCTCAAAAGAAGGTATGTGAATGATGAAAAGCACATAAAAAGATATTCAAATTAGTCATCAAACAAATACAAGCTAAAACCACAATAAGATACCACCACACACCCAATGGTTAAATTAAATCAGATAATACAAGTATTAGCAATAATATCAAGCAACAGAACATCTCATACACTGTACAAACAACTTTCAAAACTGTGTGATAGTTTGATATACAGGTAAACATGTGACGGAGGCAGCCGACACCAGTGGAAGCACATACCACAGCCCTGCTTCCACCACTACCCCACTCCATTTTATGTATGTGCACCCTGCCACACTACCACAGCTGCTGAAACACAAATGAACGCAGAGCCCACTAACCCGCTGAGACAAAGGGCATTGGCTAGCACCACCCATGGAGGTGTCATGGCCAGAGGATTGGGAACATCTCAGAAGCTCCAGTACAGCATGTTCCTAACCTCAAGAGTCCAGACAAGAATGCCGGGGGCCTGGTGTCAGGCCCCTAAAGTGAGAGCATGAAGCCTAGGAGGGATGAGCTTAGCCCTAGCTCCCTAAAATCTTTCACAAAGGAAGTGACTTCACTGAACTCACCTTATACTACAATTAAACCTCCAAATGCATCAAAGAAGACAAAAGCAAAAAAACAAACAAACAAACACATTCAAAGGATTAGCATTTTCAAAGATTGAAGGAATATCACCCACAATGATGAGAAGGTACCAGTGCAGCAAGAACTCTGGCAACTCAAAAAAGCACAGTGTCTTCTCACCTAAAAACAACCACACTAATTCCCCAGTACTGGGTCTTAACCAGACTGAATGGCTGAAACGAAAGAAACAGAATTGAAAGTATAAATAGAAACAAAAATCATCTGGATTCAAGAGAATGTTGAAACCCAATAAAAGGATTCTAAGGAATACAATAAAATAATACAGGAGATAAAAGACAAATGGCAATTGTAAGAAAGAATCTGATAGAGCTGAAAGACTCCAACAATTTTAAAACACGGTCACAGGTGTATTAGTTCATTCTCACACTGATATAAAGAATTACTTCAGACTGGGTAATTTATAAAGAAAAGAGGTTTAATTGACTCACAGTTCCACAGGCTGTATAGAAGGCATGGCTGGGAAGTCCTCAGGAAACTTACAGTAATGCCGGTAGGGCGAAGGGGAAGCAAGCACATCTTCACATGGCAGCAGGAGAGACAGAGAGACTCAAGGGGGAAGTGCCACACACTTTTAAACTATCAGATCTCATGAGAACTCATTATCATGAGAACACTGGGGGTAAATCCACCCCCATGGTCCAATCACCTCCCACCAGGTCCCTCCCCCAACATTGGGAATTACAATTCAACATGGGATTTGGGTGGGGACACAGAGGCAAACAATATGAACAAATATTAACAGCAGGAAATCAACCAAAGAGAGGAAAGAATCTCAGAGTCTGAAGACCAGTTCTCCAAAATAATTCAGTCAGACAAAAATTAAAAAAAGAGATTCAAGAATAAACAAAGCCTCCAAGAAATATGGGATTATCTAAAGAGACCAAATCTACATCTCATTGGCATCCCTAAAAGAGAAAGCAAGAAACATGGAAAACATGTTTTAGAGTGTCATTCATGAAATTTTTTCCAACCTTGCTAAACATGCCAACATTCAAATTCAGGAAATGCACAGAACCCCTGCAAGGTACTATAAAAGACGACCTTGCCCAAGACAGAGTAATCAGATTCTCTAAGATCAAAGTGAAAGATAAAATATTAAAGGCAGCTAGGAAGAAGGAGGTCACCAAAAAAGAAACTTCCTCAGGTTAACAGTGGAACTTTCAGCAGAAACCCTACAAGCCAGAAGAGATTGAGGGATTATATTCAGCATTCTTAAAGAAAAAAAATTCCAACCAAGAATTCCATATACAGCCAAACTAAAATAAGCTTCATAAGAAAAGGATAAATAAGATCCTTTTCAGACAAGCAAATGCTAAGGGAATTTGTTACCACTAGACCTGACTTACCAGAACTCCTTAAGGGAGTGCTAAATATGGAAAAGAAAGACTAATACAGGCCATCATAAAAACACACTTAAGTACATAGATCACTGATAATATAAAGCAACCGCACAATTAAGATGCGTAACAACCAGGTAACAACAAGATGACAGGATAAATCCTCACCTATTAATATTAACCTCGTATGTAAATGGGTTAATGCCCTAATTAAAAGGCACAGACTGGCAAGTTGGATAAGGAAGCAAGACCTAACTGTATGCTGTCATCAAGAGACCCATCACACATATAAATGCAAGAGACCTATCACACCCACAGGCTCAAAGTAAACAGAGAAAAATCTACCAAGCAAACAAAAACTCAACAAAGCAGAGGTTGCTGTTCTAATTTCAGATAAAACACACTTTAAATCAATAAAGATTTAAAAAAAAAAAAAAAACTTTTCTCCCTAACACTGCTTTAGCTATATCCCAGAGTTTCTGATATATTGTATATCTGATCTCATTAGTTTCAAAGAATTTCTTGAATTCTGCCTCTATTTTATTGTTTACCCAAAGTCAATCAGGAGCAGGTTAACTTCCATTAAATTGTATGTTTTTGAGTGATTTTTGGATCATTCAAAATACTAGCAAAACAAATCCAGCAGCACATCCAGTAAGGGCATTACATAATGCTGAAGGGTTTAATTCAACAAGAAGACCTAACTATCCTAAATATATATGCACCAAACACAGAAGCACCCAGATTCAAACAGCAAATACTTAGAGATCAATGAAGAGACTTAGTAACCACACAATAATATATAGGAGACTTCAACACTCTACTGACATTATTAGACAGATCATCAAAGATACAATATATCAGAAACTCTGGGACATAGCTAAAGCAATGTTAGGAGAAAAGTTTATAGCGCTGAACACCCACAGCAAAAAGTTAGAAAGACCTCAAATTAACAACCTAACATCACACCTTGAATTAAAGAAACAAGAGGAAACCAACCACAAAGCTAGCAGAATAACCAAAATCAAAGCTGAAATGAAGGAAACTGAGACATGAAAACAGCATATAAAAGATCAATAAGGTCAAGAGTTAGTTCCTTGAAAGAATAAATAAAACTGACATAATAACTAGCTAGACTAATGAAGAAAAAAAAGATAAAAGCTCCAAATGAACACAATAAAAAATAACAAAGGGAACATTACCACCAAATCCAGAGAAATACAAAGAACACTCAGAGACTGCTATGAACATCTCTCTATGCACAAAGGCTAGAAAACGTAGAAAAAATGAATAAATCTCTGGAAACATACAACCTCCCAAGATTGGATCATGAAGAAACTGAATCTCTGAACAGACCAATAATAAATTATGAAATTGAATGACTAATAATAAGCCTACCAATGAAAAAAAGGCCAGGACCAGACACAGTCATTCACAGCCAAATTCTACCAGATGTATATAGAAGATCTGATACCATTCTTAGTGAAACTATTCCAAATATTTAAGAAAGAAAGACTCCTCCCTAACTCACTGTTTGAGGCCAGCATCATCCTGACACCAAAACCTGGCATATTTCAACAAAATATGAAAGCTTCAGGCCAATATCATTGATGAACACAGATGCAAATATCCTTGACAAAATACTAGCAAACCAAATTCAGCAGCATATCCAAAAGCTAATGCTTTATGATCAAGTGGGCCCTGGGATACAAGGTTGGTTTAATACACACAAATCAATTGGCTTGGCGCAGTGGCTCATGCCTGTAATCCCAGCACTTTGGGAGGCTGAGGCCCGTGGATCACATGAGGTCAGCAGTTCGAGACCAGCCTGACCAGCATGGTGAAACCCCATCTCTACTGAAAATACAAAATTAGCCAGGAGTGGTGGTGCATGCCTGTAGTCCCAGCTACTTGGGAGGCTGATGCAGGAGAAATGCTTGAACCTGGGAGACAGAGGTTGCAGTGAACCAAGATTGCACCATTGCACTCCAGCCTGGGCAACAAGAGCGAGACTCTGTCTCAAAACTAAAAAAATTAAAAAAAATACACAAATCAATTAATGTGATTTACCACATAAACAGAACTAAAAACAAAACAACATGATCATCTCAAGATACAGAAAAGGCTTTCAATAAAATTCACCATCCTTCATGTTAAAAAACCCTCAACAAACTAGGCACTGAAGGAGCACACTTCAAAATAATACAAACCCATCTATGACAAATCCATAGCCAACATCACACTGAATGGGCAAAAGATGGAAGCATTCCCCTTGAAAACCTGAACAAGAAAAGGATGCCCTCTCTCACTACTCTATTCAACATGGCACTGGAAGTCCTATCCAGAGCAATCAGGCAAGAGAAAGAAATAAAAGGCATCCAAATAGAAAGAGAGGAAGTCAAACTATCTCTGTTTGCAGATGATATGATTGCAAACCTAGAAAACCTCATAGTTTCTGTCCAAAAGCTACTAACTCTGATAAACAACTCCAGCAACATTTCAGAATATAAAATTAAGGTACAAAAATGGTCAGGCCAGGCACGGTGATTCACACCTGTAATCCCAGCACTCTGGGAGGCCGAGATGGGTGTATCACTTGAGTCCAAGAGTTTGAGGCCAGCGTGGCCAACATGGTGAGACCCCGTCTCTACTGAAAACACAAAAATTAGCCTGGCATGGTGGCACCTGTGGTCCCAGCCATTCAGGAGGCTGAGGCAGGAGAATCGCTTAAGCCTGGATGGCAGAGGTTGCAGAGAGGTGAGATCGTGCCACTGTTCCAGCCTGGGTGACAGAGTGAGACTCTGTCTCAAAAAACATGGACCAGGCATGGTGGCTCATGGCTGTAATTCCAGCACTTTGGGAGGCTGAGGCAAGAGGATTGCTTGAGCTCAGGAGTTCAAGACCAGTGTGAGCAACATGGCATAACCCCGTCTCTATAAAAAAATACAGAAATAATTAGCCAGGCAAGGGAGTGTGCATCTGTAGTCCCAACTACTCAGGAGACTGACATGGGAAGATCACTTGGGCCCAGGAGGCAGAGGTTGCAGTGAGCCAAGATCGAATTACTGCACTCCAGCTTGAGTAACAGAGGGGTCAAACAACAAAAACAACAACAGCAAAAACAACAAGAACAACAAAACCAATATACAAAAATTAGTAGCATTTCTATATACCTACAATGTCCAAGCTGAGAGTCAATACAAGAATGCAATTCCACTTACAATAGCCACAAAGAAAATGAAATACCCTAGGAATACAGCTAACTAGGGGAGGTGAAAGATCTCTGTAATGAGAATTACAAAAGATTGCTCAAAGGTATCACACATGACACAAAGAAAGGAAAAAACATTTCATGCTCATCAATAGGAAGAATCAATATTGTGAAAATGGCCACACTGCCTAAAGCAATTTACAGATTCAGTGCTATTCGTATCAAACTACCAAGGACATTCTTCACATAATTAGAAAAGACTATTTTAAAATTCATATGGAACCAAAAAGGAGCCTGAGTAGCCAAGACAATCCTAAGCAAAAAGAGCCTAAGCAAAAAACTGGAGGCACCACATTACCTGACTTCAAACTATACCATAAAGCTGCAGTAACCATTACAGCATGGTACTGATACAAAAACACATAGACCCATGGAACAGAATAGAGAGCCAAGAAACAATGCCACACTCCAACAACCACCAGATCTTTGATAAAGGTAACAAAAATAAGCAATGGGGAAAGGACTCCCTGTTCAATAAATGGTGTTGGGGTAGCTGGTTAGTCATATACAGAAGACTGAAACTGGGCCCCTTCCATACAGCATATACAAAAATCAACTCAAGATGAATTAAAGACTCAAATGTAAAACCTAAAACCTCAAAGATAACCTAGGAGATACCATTCTGGACCTAAGTCCTGGCAAAGATTTCATGACAAACACGCCAAAAGCAACTGCAACAAAAACAAAAAATGACCAATGAGACATATTTAAACTAGAGAGCTTCTGCACAGCAAAAGAAACTATTAACAGAGTAATCACACAACCAATGGAATGGGAGAAAATATTTGCAACCTACAGAATGGGAGAAGATATACGTATCCAAAAAAGGTCTAATATCCAGAATCTATAAGAAACTTAAACAACTTAATGAGCAAAAAACAAACAACCCCATTAAAAAGTGGGCAAATGACATGATCAAACACTTTTCAAAAGAAGACATACATGCAGCCAGAAAGCATACGAAAAAATGCTCAATATCACTAATCATTAGAGAAATGCAAATCAAAACCACAAGAGAAACCATCTCATATCAGTCAGAATGGCTATTATTTAAATCTCTAAAAATAAAAGGTGCTGGTGAGGTAGCAGAGAAAAGGGAGTGCTTACATGCTGTTGGTGGCAATGTAACTTAGTTCAGCCATTCTGGAAACCAGTTCGGCAATTTCTCAAAGAACTTAAGAAAGAATTACCATTCGACCCCACCATCATTACTGCGTATATACCCAAAGGCATATAAATTGTTCTACCATAAAGATACATGCGTGTATCTGTTCATCACAGCACTATTCACCATAGCAAAGACATGGAATCAACCTAAATGCTCATCAAGGGTGGACTGGAAAAGAAAATATGGTACATTTAGACCACAGAATAACTACCCAGCCATAAAAATGAGCAACAATATGTCCTTTGCAGCAACACGGATGGTGCTGGAGGCCATTATCCCAAACTAACGCAGGTACAGAAAACCAAACATAGTGTGTTCTCACTTATAAGTAGGAGGTAAATACTCAGTTACATAGATACAAAGAAGGGAGCAACAGACACTGGGGCCTCCTTGAGAGTGGCGGGTGGGAGGAAGGTGAGGACAGAAAACTACCTATCAGGTACTATGCTTATTAGTGATTAATTAATCTGTACTCCACACCTCTGTGACACACAATTTTCCTATATAAGAAACCTGCACATGTACTCTTGAATGTAAAATAAATTTTAAAAAAAAGAAAAGCACAGGGGAAAAATTGAAAAAAAATTTCATTTTTTAAATTATTAAACTTATACATACTTATTGCAGAAGAAATCAGAAAATAGAGAAAAGTATAAAGAAGAAAATTTCACTGAGAGGAAAACCATTGCTAATATTTTAGTGTATATCCTTCCAGTCTTTTTTCCTCCTGCATACACATTTTTCCAAAAATGAGATCTTACTATATGTGCTATTTTATGCTTTCCTTTTAAAAAAATTTTTTTTTGAGACAAGGTCTCCCTCTGTTGCCCATGTTGGAGTGTAGTGGCACAATCATAGCTCACTGCAGCCTCAACCTCCATGGCTGAAGCAATCCTCCCACCTCAGCCTCCTGAGTAGCTCGGACTACAGGCAAGCACCACCATGCCCAACTAATTTTAAAAATTTTTTTGTAGAGACGGAGTTTCACCATGTTGTTGAGGCTTGTCTCAAATTCCTAGGCTCAAGTGACTCTCTCGCCTTGACCTCCCAAAGTGCTGGATGCTTTATGCTTTTCATTTAACACTGTATTGTCGGCATCTCTCCATACCACTCAGAATAAATCCACAGCTTCATTTAAAAAAAAAAAATGACCTAGCAATTCCACTCTTAAGTATTTATCCTGAAGAAAATGAAAACATATGCTCCAAAGATTCATACTATAGTTCCTCTTTGTCTTCAGGGAATACATTACAAGACACTCAGAAGATGTCTGAAACTACAGATAGTACCACACCATATATATATACTATGTTTTTTACCTATACATATAGTTATGATAAACTTTAATTTATAAATTAGGTACAGTAAGATATTAACAGCAATAATAATATAGAACAACTGTAACAATATATTGTAATAAAAGTTATGTGAATGTGGTCTTTCCCTCCCTAAATATCTCACTGTACTATACTGCAGGTAACTGAAACCACCAATAAGGGAAGACAACTCTATACTAATATGCATAGCTGCATATAAGGCATAATATGCCTAGGCAAAGTAATACTAGGTATAATATTAGCCTAATATTATAGCTGCATATTATATGTACAGTATACATAGTAAGTATGCATATTAGTGTATGCTATATTGCAAAATAACATTAGGCATCATATTACTAATATTATACCCAATAATTAGAAGCAAACCAGATGCCCAACTACAGACAAATGTTGTTTTGGATATATCATATTGTGTGGGTACAATAAAATAAAAAACAAACCGACTACAGATAAATTCAAAAAAACAAACCAACTACAGATACATTCATCTACATGGCTGTATCTCAAAAACATTATAGATATTCAAAAAACAAGCCAATTATAGATATATTCAACTACATGTATGTATCTCAAAAACATTATGCTAAGCGAATAGTTAGATACGTAAGAGTAAATACTAACTCAAAACAAACAAAAACCAACAACCTTATTTAAAAAATGGGCAAAGGACTTGAATAGACATTTCTCCAAAGACATACAAATGGCCAATAAGTACATGGAAAGATGCCCAACATCACTAATCATTAAAGATGCTGAGCTCCACAAATCATTAGAGAAAAGCAAATCAAAACTACAATGAGATACCACCTCACACCCATTAGGATGGCTACTATCACACACACATACACACACAAAACCAGAAGATAAGTGTTGGCAAGATGTGGAGAAATTAAAACCCTTTTGTACTGCTGATGGGAATGTAAAATGGTATCGCTGCTGTCGCAAACAATATGACATTTCCTCAAAAAGTTAAAAAGAGAATTATCATATGGTGCAGCAATTCCACTTCTGGGTATACAATAAAAAGAATTAAAAGCAGTCTCTTAAAAAGATATTTTAAAATTATTTTTAATAATTTCAATAATTATTTTAGATTCCGGGGGTACATCTGCCGATTTGTTACATGGCTATATTGCATGATGCTGAGGTTTGGTGTATGACTGATCCCAGGTCGTGAGCAGAGTACCTAATAGGTACTTTTTCAACCCCTGTCCACCTCCCCTCTCTCCCCTCTAGTAATCCCGTGTCTATTGTTGCCATCTTTATGTCCCTGAGTACCCAGTGTTTAGCTCCTGCTTACGTGAGAATGTGCTTTGGTCCTGAGTTAATTCGCTTAGGATTATGGCCTCCAGCTGCATCCATGTTACTGTAAAGGACATAATTTCATTCTTTTTTATGGCTGCATAATATCCCATGGTGTATATGTACCATATTTTCATTATCCACTCTGTTGATGGACACCTAGATTGATTCCATGTCTTCGCTATGGTGAATACTGCTGTGATGAACACATTTTGGTAGAAAGATGTATTTTCCTCTGGATATATACCTAGTAATAGCATTGCTGGGTAGAACGGCAGTTCTTTTTAAGTTCTTTGAGAAATCTCTAAACTGCGTTCCACAGTGGATAAACTAATTTACATTTCTACCAACAGGGTATAAGTGTTTCCTTTTCCCTATAGCTTCATCAGCATCTGTTATTTTTTTACTTTTAGTAATAGCCATTCTGGCTGGGCACGGTGGCTCATGCCTGTAATCCCAGCACTTTGGGAGGCCGAGACGGGCGGATCACTTGAGGTTAGGAGTTCGAGACCAGCCTGGCCAACATGGTGAAACCCTGTCTCTACTAAAAATACCAAAGAAGTTAGCCAGGCATGGTGGTGCATGCCTGTAGCCCCAGCTACTCTGGGGGCTGAGGCAGGAGAATCGCTTGAACCTGGGAGGTAGAGGTTGCAGTGAGCTGAGATCAAGGTACAGCACTCCAGCCTAGGCGATAGAGTGAGATTCCGTCTTAAAAAAAAAAAAAAAAATTTTAAAAAAGCCATTCTTCCTGGTGTGAGATGGAATCTCCTAGTTTTGATTTGCATTTCTCTGAATATTAGTGATTTTTTTTTCATGTTGTTGGCCATTATACGTCTTATTTTGAGAAGCGGTCATTCACGTCTTTTGCCCACTTTTTTTTTTCCTTTTTCTTTTTTTTTTTTTTTTTGAGACGGAGTCTTGCTCTGTCGCCCAGGCTGGAGTGCAGAGGCGCGATCTCGGCTCACTGCAAGCTCCACCTCCCGTGTTCACGCCATTCTCCTGCCTCAGCCTCCCGAGTAGCTGGGAGTACAGGCGCCTGCCACTATGCCCGGCTAATTTTTTGTATTTCTAGTAGAGATGGGGTTTCACCGTGTTAGCCAGGATGGTTTCAATCTCCTGACCTCGTGATCCTTCCGCCTCGGCCTCCCAAAGTGCTGGGATTACAGGCGTGAGCCACCACGCCTGGCTTTTGCCCACTTTTTAACGGGGCTATTTGTTTTTTAGCTTGTTCAAATTTTTAAGTCCTTTGTAAATCCTGGATATTAGGCCTTTGTCAGGTGCATATGTTGCGAATATTTTTCTCCCATTCTGTAGGTTGTTTGTTTACTATATTGATAGCTTCTTTTGCTCGGCAGAAGCTCTTTAGTTTAATTAGGTTTCACTTGTCAATTTTTGTTTCGGTTGCAAATGCTTTTGAGGACTTAGTCATAATTCTTTGCCAAGACCGATGTTTAGAATGGCATTTCCTAGGTTTTCTTCTAGATTCTTATAGTTTGGGGTCTTACATTTAATTCTTTCATCCATCCTAATTTAGTTTTTGTGTATGGTGAATGGTAGGGGTCTACTTTCATTTTTTTCTGAATACGGCTAACCAGCTATCCTAGCACCATTTATTGACTAAGGAGTCCTTTCTTCGTTGCTTATTTTTGTTAACTGGTTGAAGATTAGATGGCTGTAGGTGTGCAGCATTATTTCTGGGTTCTTCACTCTGCTCCCTAGGTCTATGTGTCTGTTTTTGTACTAGTACCATGGCGTTACGGTTACTTTAGTCTTACAGTATATTTTGAAGTCGGGTAATGTGATGCCTCCAACTTTGTTCTTTTTGCTCAGGATGGCTTTGGCTATTCATAAAAGAGATAATCTTACACCCATGTTTGTATGTTCATAGGAGCATTATTTACGATAGATAAAACATGGAAGCAACCCAAGTGTCAATCAACAGACGGATAAGCAAAATGTAATATATCCATACAATGGAATATTATTCAGCGTTAAAAAGGAAGGAAATTCTGACGTGCTACAATATGGATGACCCCTGAAGATATTATACTAAGTGAAATAAGCCTGTCACAAAAGACAAATACTCTATGATTCCATTTACATGAGGTAATGAGAGTAGTCAAAATTATAGAGACAGACAGCAAAATGTTGGTTGCCAGAGGCTGGCTATACAAGTTAATGGGGAGTTACTGTTTAATGGGTACAGGGTTTCAGTTTTAAAAGATGAAAAGAGTTAGATGGGTGGTAGTGATGGTTGCATAAAATTATGAATATATTTAATGACACTGAACTGCAAACTTAAAATTGGTTAAGATGGTAAGTTTTATGTTATGTGTATTTTGTCACAATAAAAAAGATTTTAAAAAATTTAAACAGAAATAGAGATTCACTACTAACAGGCACAGGGTTTCTTTTGCTGGGGATGAAATGTCCTAAAATTAGATTATAGTGTTGGTTGCATAACCCTGTGAATATATTTAAAGAGTACAATTTACTCTTTAAATAGGTGAATTCCATGATACATGAATTATATCTCAATAAAGCTGTAAACAAAGAATATTTTATCTTTAATTCACAAAATATTTTCAATAGTACATATTCTGCAATAATAAAAGGCTCGAAAAAGGTAAATACTATATGATTCCACATATATGAAAACTCTAGAAAACAAAAATCTAATCTATAGTTAAACAAAACAGATCAAAAATTGCTTGAGGTGGGCAGAGAATGGACAGCAAGAAAATTTAAGGATAACTATGGTGTTAGTTACACAGGTGCACGTATCTGTCAAAACTTATCAAATTTTACAGTGGAAATGAGTTTATACATAAATTATACCTCAATGAAGTTAATTTTTAAAGAAGAACCACAAAAAATTCCATCTTAAACACACTAAAGTGCGTGAAATTAAAAAGACTATCAACACCAAATAATGGCAAGGATTTGGAACAAGTGGAACTCTCATACATTACTGGTGGGAATGTAAAATGGTGCAGCTACTTTGGAAACAGCATGGCAGTTTCATATAAAGCTAAATAAAACTCTCATATAAAGTTAAGCTGTATTCCCACAATTCCACTCTTAAGAATTTACCCAAAAGAAAAAATGTCTACCAAAGACCAGTATACAAATATTCGTACCGGATACAACCAAAATGTCCATCAACCAATGAATAAACAGATTGAAGAATATTCACACAAAAGAATGCCATTCAATAATCAAAATGAATTTCTTATACATGCAACAATATGGATAAATCTCTCAGACATTATGTTGAGTGAACAATGCCAGGTATAAGAGTGCATACTGTATGATTTCCTTCATACAGCTTGAGTCTCCCTTATCTAAAATGCTTGGGACCAGAATCATTTTGGATTTTGGATTTTTTCAGATTTTGGAATATGCGCAGACCCACAATAAGAAATCTTGGAGGCCAGGCGGGGGCCGGGAGGCAGAGCTTGCAGTGAGCTGAGATCGCGCCACTGCACTCCAGCCTGGGCGACAGAGCGAGACTCCATCCCCCCACCAAAAAAAAAAAAGAAATCTTGGAGATGGGACCCCAGTCTAAATACAAATTCATTTATGCTTCATATATATCTTATACACATAGTCTGAAGTTAATTTCATACAATATTTTAAATAATTTTTTGCATTAAACAAATTTTTGGCTTCATTTAGACTGTGACCCATCACATAAGGTCAAGGGCAAAATTTTCTACTTGTGGCATCATGTTGGCATTCAAAAAGTTTCAGATTGTGGAGCATTTTGGATTTCAGATATCCAGACTAGGGATGCTCAACCCGTATAGAGTTCTAGAATAGACAAGACTACTAACATGTGGTAATAAAAATTAGATCCGTGCTTGCCTAGAGTAGAGCTGGGGGTTACTAACCAAAAAAGAAATTTTCTGACATGATAGAAATCTTGATTGAGGGAGGGGGGATTGGCCACATGATATATATGTGTGCCAAAATTCATAGGGCTATCTACATTTAAAATCCGTATGTTTTACTATATGTAAATTGCAGTAGCGCACGCCTGTAATCCCAGCACTTTGGGAGATTGAGGAAGGGAGATCGAGTGAGCCTAGGGGTTTGAGACCAGCCTGGGCAATACAGCAAGACTCTGTCTGTAGAAAATTTAAAAATTAAAAAAAAAAAATTAGCTAGGCATGGTGGTACACACCTGTAATCCCAGCTACTTGAAAGGCTGAGGCAGAAGGATCACTTGAGCCCAGGAGTTCGAGACTGCAATAGCTATAATCACACCACCATACTCCAGCCTGGTCAACAGAGCAAGACTGACCGACTGACTGACTCACTCACACACACACACACACACACACACACACACTCTCTCTCTGTATATATATATACATATATATATACATATATATATACGTATATATATATACATATATATACATATATATATACATATATATATACGTATATATATATACATATATATACATATATATATATACATATATATATATATATAGTATTGTATACCAGCTATTGTATATCAGCTTCAGCACTTACTAGGAAATTTATTTATTTATATATGTAAATATATTTATATATTTATTAAATATAAATAAATATTTTTCCACTTTAATTGACAATTTCATGGAATGCTAGAAAAATGCAATCTCAGATGCATGTGTTGCCCCATTAGCTAGTATAGCAATCCATATGTCGTTTGTACGTGCACGGCATCCTTTCTCCTCCCCATGCCTTTTTATATGAGGTACTTAAAGTAGTTGAATTCACAGACACAGAAAGCACAATGGTGGTTACTAGGGGATGGGGTGGAGAGGGTAGGGAAGAGGGAATTGTTGCTTAATGAATATGGAGTTGCAGTTTTGCAAGATGAAAAAGTTCTGGAGATTTTTTTCACAACAATGTGAACATAGTTAATGTCAAGTATTCGTATTCTGATAGACCTGTTTTCAAATCCTGGTTCTAGCATGTATTTATTACCCATGTGATGTTGGTGATGTTTTTCTCCCCAGGCTTAATGGGGTATAACTGACAAATAAAAGTTGTGTATATTCAAGGTGTACAATGTGATGATTTGATATATGTATACACTGTGTAATGATTACCATAATCAAATTAAGCAACACATCCATAACTACACTTAGTTACCTTTTGTGTGCATGTGTGTGTGTGTCCATGTGTGACAAGGACACTTAAGATCTCCTCTCTTAGCAAATTTCGAGACGTAAACAATATAGTATTATTAGCTATGGTCACTATGCTGTACCTTAGATCCTCAGAATTTATTCATGTTACAACTGAAAGTTTGTACCCTTTGACCAACATCTCCCCATTTCCCAGCCCCTGGTAACCACCATTCTAACCTCTCTGTTGCTATGAGTTTGACACTTTTAGGTTCTACATGTAAGTGAGGTCACACAGATGTTGGTCTTTTTGTGTCTGGTTTATTTCACTTAGCATAATGTCTTCCAGCTTCTTCCATTTTGTATTTGGCAGGATTTCCTTCTTTTAATGGCTGAATAATAATGTGTGTGTGTGTGTGTGTACACATACCAGATTTTCTTTATCCATTCATTCATTGATGAACATTTAGGTTGTTTCCGTATGTTAGCTAATGTGAATAATGTTGCAATGAGCACAGGGCTTGGTCATGTTACTACTCTAAGATTTGTGGTTGGTGCAAAAGTAATTGCGGTTTTTGCCATTACTTTCAATGGCAAGAACCACAATTATTTCTGCACCAACCTAATAGTTTCTTCATCTATAAAATGGAGGAAATAATGCTGCCTGACACCACAAGGTTGTTATAAGAATCAAATGAAATAATACAGATAAAGTACTCTGTGTTAGCTGCCATAATTAGCTAACATCAATATGCAACTTTAAAAAAAATCTATTTTGTTGTGTGTTATATGCCAGTGGAGCATAAATATCTGCCTCACACTGGGCTAGAAATTCAGTTATATCAAACTCCTGCTTCCAGTGAGGTAGTATGGAATGAGTGCCAGAAATCATATTTTTTTACAGGCTCCTCAAATGATTCTGAGGCACAGCCACATTTGAGAAAAATTCAGATAGTTTTTAGCATACATATTAAAGGAACATAAAAAAACTTTTACTATGCCATACCATTCTTATTTCCCATGGGCCCTTTATTATTTCAGAAGTTAATGTCTAAAGGCATAGAGCCTTCATAAACTCATATATTATTAAATATGCTCAAAGTACTCGGGCTCTGGAGCCAGAAAGCTATTGTATACCAGCTCCAGCACTTACTAGGAGCATAATTTTGAGAAAGTTACTTAGTTTCTCTCTGCTTCAGTTTTCTCCTGGTAAAACGGAAGTGGATAACAATACCTGTTTATCAGGTTTTTATGAAACTTGCTAATACATCAAAAGTGCTTAAATAATGCTTGATACACAGAAAAGTACTCAATAAAGATGAACTGCTTTTACAGTAATTATTGTCATATTGATACCCTTTTTTAAAATCACAAATGGTTTTCAATCAAAATTTTTGAAGGCAAAGAATGAAAACACTATAAAGAAGTAGATTGCAGACAACTTATTTCTCAGATGTTTCCTCTTCATTTGTTAAATGGCCTACGGTCACCGAAATGCTCTATTGATTACAGATAAGATGAGGAGACCAAAGCAGAAGAAAAGTGGGTAGGTTAACAGCCCTACAACTTAAATTTTAAATTTCTTTTTATTAACCCTGCTGTATATTTTTGCAGTAGAAAAGAATTCCAACCGGCAATCCTAGATCAGATCCTAACAGCCAAATATTTTGTTTTAATAAGTTCTAATTTGATTTTTTTTCCAGGAGAAAAAAAGAAACCAGAATGCAGAACAATGTAAGAAATGTAACCATTCCACAATCTGTTTTTAGTCAAATGTAAAGAATGTTCACTGAACTCTTCCAAGTAGATATCACTATCAAAATAGCCCAACAGGCAGAATCAAGACTGGTCCAGACGAAATTAAACACAAGGGAATATGAGGCAGATCCTAAAACTAATGGTACCTTAAACAATTCACCTCTTGTCAAATTAACATCTATGAGTGAAAACCAAATAGCAGACTGGAAAAACTACAGGGCTAGGAACAAAAGGATTTGACAACCAAGATTTCATTTACTGAAACCAAAATAAAAGAAAGGTGTTTTGTGTGACAGTCACCTACTTCTCCTTCACAGGTCTTTGCCCCACTCTGGGTAACACAGTGATTAGACTTTAGTCAGCCTCACATAAACACCCACTCACCTCTCTTCCTTCTGCTCACTGTATAACTGCCTTCTCTATTCAATGAAATGTGGAGAGGAAAGGAAGATTGTCAACTAATAGTCCTTTCCCAGATTGAATTTGCGAGCTAAAACCTAAAAGCAACAGAAATGTCTAAAGGCTAGTAGTTTTTTTGGTGTTTTTTCTTTCTTTCTTTCTTTCTTTCTTTCTTTTTTTTTTTTTTTTTGAGACGCAGTTTCGCTCTTGTTGCCCAGGCTGGAGTGCAATGGCACGATCTCAGCTCACTGCAACCTCTGCCTCTCGGGTTCAAGCGATTCTCCTACCTCAGCCTCCTGAGAAGCTGGGGTTACAGGTGTGCACCACAACACCCAGCTAATTTTGTATTTTTAGTAGAGACAGGGTTTCTCCACGTTGGTGAGGCTGGTCTCCAACTTCCGACCTCAGGTGATCTGCCCGCCTCGGCCTCCCAAAGTGTTGGGATTGCAGGCTTGAGGCACCGTGCCCGGCCAAGGCTAGCAGTTTTAAGGGTTTATGAGTTAGACATCCCGCAGTATGCAAGGGAAGATTTTTGGATCGGATGGTTGAACAAAGCCATAAAGCTATATCTGCTTTATATTACAAGCAGCAGCAGAAGGAAAACACTCTTCCTTGTTAACAGCAACCCTGAATATAGCTGCCTACATTTTGAGGTTGTTGTACATTTAAAATCAATTTAATTCAGGAAAGTAGGTGGCAATTACTCGGTACAAAGAACTGTGCTGGGTATTGTGAATAATACATGGACAACACAGCCCCAAACCCTGGGGAACTAGAAGGAGGAATAAGATAAGCACAGAAGGAATAACATAAGCACATAAAATATCTACAATATTAAGCAGAATACAGCAAGTGTCTATACCTCATTAAATAGCAATTCCATTCTTCCATCTGGCCAGGTCAAAAATCTCACAGTTATCCTTGACTCCCTCTTCATCTCATTATCATCATTTTAGATCATAACAGTGAACATAAGGTAAAGTTCTTTTCCCAAAAATGTTCCAAAGAAAAGAGAAAACTACCTTACCAATGAGTTGTTCTACTTACTTTATTTTTGAAAACAATAAAAAAAAAAACTGGAAAAGACATACATCCTGAAAAACAACTTCAAGGAATATCGGTTTGGGACACTGAAAAGAGATTACCCAGCGAAAACAGTTAAAAAGAATGGCAAAGAAATTAAAAACAGATTTCATAATTATTTGGGGGGTACAGACTCACAATTAAAACTTTTAGATCCCAATATAAATAGTCCCATTAATGATCAATTGAAAGGGTTTCCTTGGAAAGCTCATGAATAGCAAATGATTACTTGTGACAGGAGATAAAAATTCCCAGGGAAGGTATTATACTTAGATTTTTAAAAAATGCTTTATTTAAAACCATGTAAGTAAAAATTAAAATCATGTGTTCTGGAAAATTATAAAGGAGACTAAATCTGGTAAAGAGAAAGGCTAATTTTAAAATGCATATGAAGAGTGTAAATAATGTCATTTCATAAAACAAGTATAAAAAATTTTCTAAAGTAATATATACTTTTAAATATGCATGTATGACTATTTTAACAAGCTAAATACAATAACTATTTCTTCTACTAGCTTAAAAGTTTATACATTCAAGTTAATTTATTTTAAAAGCATCTAGGCTTATCCATTCCAGTAGGCACCAAGCCCAATTCAAGTCTCTCCTCCATTACGTGAGCTTTCTCAATCATTCTCATCCTCTCTCAATTTTTACTGCCAAAACCTATTTGAAGATAGTTATTATACTGATCATTCATTTAGCACATACTATAGTCTGCCTTATAATAATGTTAATCCTTTTTCTCGCCTATATTTCTTCTTTGCATCAACCATAGCACTTAAAGTTGACTGATTAATGCGAAAAAAAAAGGAACACTTGTACATTGTGGGTGGGAATATAAATTAGTACAACTACTATGGAAAACAATATAGAGGTTCCTCAAAAAACTAAAGACAGATTTACTGTATGATGTAGCAATTCCACTGCAGGGTATACATCCAAAGAAGAGATAGTTGCACTCCTATGTTTATTGCAGCACTATTCACAACAGCCAAGATATGAAATCAACCTAAATGCCTATCAGTGGATGAAGAGATTTAAAAACATATGGTGCATATACACAATGGAATATGATTCAGCCTTAAAAGAGAATGAAATCATGTCATTTGAAGCAACATGGATAGAAATGAAGAACATTATATTAAGTGAAATAAGCCAGGTACAAGGAGACAAATTACATGTTCTCATTCATATGTCAGAGCTAAAAAAAATTTTATCTCATGAAAGTAGAGAGTAGAATGATGGGAGGGATAGGGGAGGTTGGGAAGGGTAGGAGAAAGGGGAGATAAGAGAGTTTAGTTAATTAGTATAAAAATACAGTTAGACAGAAGCAGTAATTTCTAGTATTCAATAACACAACAGAGTGACTATAGTTAACAATAATTTAGTGTGTATTTCAAAATAGCTAGAAGAGAAGATTTGGAATGCTCCCAACACAAAGAAATGATAAGTGTTTGAGGTGATGGATATCCTGATTACTGATTGTATCATTACACACTGTACACACGTATCAAAATACCACATGCAACCCATAAATATGTACATTATGTGTCAATTTCTTTAATTGGGGAGGAAAAGCCCAAAAATATTTCTGAGACAAACCTTAAATATAAAAACCTAAAAATGTTAAAATGAAGTTTGCAAAACTAGAAAAATAAATATCATGAAAATACTAACAAAAGTTTTGTATCTACTAACTATGCAACAAATATTACAAAGTCCTATGTAATACAAGACATAGGACTTTTAAGGCAAGAGGGAGGTCTTTTTCATAATGATAAAAGGGTCACTCTACCCAGAATATGTATCATCTCTAAATCTGTAGATACCTAATGAGCACATGATCAAAACAGAATTAAAAAAATAAATAGAAAACTCCATAATCATAGGGGAGATTTTAACGTATATCTACCAGTAATTGATAGAGAAGGGGAAAAAAACAAAATTCTTACTAAAGAATATAGAATACCTGAACACAAAAAAAACCCGACATAATAACAAAGATAACTGGATCTAACAAATCCAGACTAGGCATTCTTTTCATGTGTACAAAAAACATTTACCAAAATTTCAGTATGTATTGACCAATAAAGCAAATATCAATGAATTTCAAAGGACTGAAATCACATAGTACATTTTCTAAACAAAGTGGAGTTAAGCTAGAAAACAGTACTAAAAAGTTAAATAGAGAATGCTTCTATACTTGAAAATCAAGCAGTATACCTCAAAATAACTCTCAGGGTCAAAAAAGAAATTAAAACAAATTCCATATTTAAATTAATGTTTAATAATGAAAATACATGATGGCAAAACATACGATATGCATCTAAAGCCATGTTTGAGTGGAAATGTATAGCCTTAATGATACATATTAAGTATGAAGACTTCAAGAAATGATCTAAGCACTCATATCAATAAATTACAAAAATGAAAGCAAATTAAAACCAAAGAAAGAAGAATTTAAATGTAAAGATAAATACGAAAAATTTTAAAAAGAGTAAACAAATACTCTTTCTTGTGTGGAGAAAGCCACAAATATTCTCAAAAGTCCATAAAAAAGAATCCAGTAAAAACTGGATCTTTAAGCTGGGCACAGTGGCTCATGCCTGTAATCCCAGCACTTTTGGAGGCTGAAGCGGGTGGATCACTTGAGATCTGGAGTTCAAGACCAGCTTAGCCAACATGGTGAAACCCCGTCTCTACTAAAATACAAAAATTAGCTGGGCACAGTGGCACACACCTGTCATCCCAGCTACTCAGGAGGCCAAGGCAGGAGAATCACTTGCACCTGGGAGGCAGAGATTGCAGTGAGCTAAGATCGTGCCACTGCACTGGAGCCACCTGGGAGAGAGTGAGACTCCGTCTCAAAAAAAAAAAAAAAATGGATCTTTATTAAGACTACTAAAATTAATACACCCTTGGCCATAGTCAAGAAAAAGAGGCAGTGGATCCACATGTTCAGTATTAGAAATAAAAGAGGAAAGTCTGTACAAATCCCACAGATATTTAAAAGATCATAAAAGAATATTATGAACTTTATGCCAATAAATATGAAAATTTAGATAGACAAACTCTTAACAAAATACAACCTGTGAAGACATAAGAAAAAATAGAAAAATCAGTTTAGTCTTATATCTACTAAAGATACCAAATCTTTAATTAAAAACCTTCTCACAAAAAAATTCCAGACACCGTCTGGGAAGTGAGGAGCGCCTCTGCCCAGCCGCCCCGTCTGGGAAGTGAGGAGCGCCTGTGCCCGGCCGCCCCGTCTGGGAGGTGAGGAGTGCCTCTGCCCGGCCGCCCATCGTCTGGGATGTGAGGAGTGCCTCTGCCCGGCCGCCCCGTCTGGGAGGTGAGGAGCGCCTCTGCCCAGCCACCCCGTCTGGGAGGTGAGGAGCGCCTCTGCCCGGCCACCCCATCTGGGAGGTGTACCCAACAGCTCCAAAGAGACAGCAACCATCGAGAATGGGCCATGATGACGATGGCGGTTTTGTCAAAAAGAAAAGGGGGAAATGTGGGGAAAAGAAAGAGAGATCAGATTGTTACTTTGTCTGTGTAGAAAGAAGTAGACATAGGAGACTCCATTTTGTTCTGTACTAAGAAAAATTCTTCTGCCTTGGGAGGCTGTTAATCTATAACCTTACCCCCAACTCCGTGCCCTCTGAAACATGTGCTGTGTCAACTCAGGGTTAAATGGATTAAGGGTGGTGCAAGATGTGCTTTGTTAAACAGATGCTTGAAGGCAGCATGCTCCTTAAGAGTCATCACCACTCCCTAATCTCAAGTACCCAGGGTCACAAACACTGCGGAAGGCCGCAGGGACCTCTGCCTAGGAAAACCAGAGACCTTTGTTCACGTGTTTATCTGCTGACCTTCTCTCCACTATTATCCTATGACCCTGCCACATCCCCCTCTCCGAGAAACACCCAAGAATGATCAATAAATACTAAAAAATAAATAAATAAATAAATAAATAAATTCCAGACACAGCTTCACTAATGAATTCCACCAAACATACCTAAAGATTATTTAAAGAATACCTAAATACGTAAATAAAATATCTGAATAAAAATATCTAACGAATATCTTAAAAATACCTAAACCAATATCAAAAGAAAAATGTACATAATTACGACAGAGAGCCTAAAAGAGTACTAAGAGATAAACAAAGACAAGTTCAATAAATGGAAGGATATTCTATGTTCATAGATTTGAAGACTTTATACTGTAAATATGTTAATTCTTCCCAGATTCATCTTCAAATCTGATATGATCTCAATTACAATCCTGGAATATTTTTTGAGGAAATTGATAACTTGACTGTAAATATATGTGAAGATACAAAGACCCAAGAATATCCAAGACCATCTTAGTAAAGAAAAAGTTCAAAGACCTACACTACCAGGTTATCAAGACTTTTAATAAATAAAACAGGGTAGTACTGAATGAAGCAAGTATAGACAAATAAACAAATATAAAAGACTAGAGAATTCAGAAACAGTCCCATACAGGTAGGAATACTTGATTTATGACAAAGATGGCACTGCAGAGAAGTAGGGAAAAAAGGGTCTTTTCTTTTTTTTTTTTTTTCTTTCTTTTTTTGAGACGGAGTCTCAGTCTGTCACCCAGGCTGGAGTGCAGTGGCACGATCTTGGCTCACTGCAAGCTCCACCTCCTGGGTTCACGCCATTCTCCTGCCTCAGCCTCCCAAGCAGTTGGGACTACAGGCGCCCGCCACCACGTCCGGCTAATTTTTTGTATTTTTTAGTAGAGACGGGGTTTCACTGTGTTAACCAGGATGTTTTCGATCTCCTGACCTCGTGATCTGCCCACCTTGGCCTTCCAAAGTGCTGGGATTACAGGCCTGAGCCACCGCGCCCGGCCAAGAAGGGTCTTTTCAATAAATGATGGTTAAATGGATACCCCATGAGAAAAACAAAACAAACTTCAGGCTCTCTTATACCAACACAAAATTAACTTTCGATAAATTACGACATTAAATATAAAAGGTAAAAACAATGCTTCTAAAAGAAACGCAGGAAAACATCTTCATGAGCTGAAGGTGGACAGGTTTCTTTGAAAACAGGATCCAAAAGAACAAAATCAATAAAGGAAAGAATAAACTGAACTACACTAAAATTAGTTATTCTTGCTTATTAAAGACTCATTAAAAGGGCAAAAACACAAGCCACAGAATAGATGATGATCTCTGCAACACACAACAAAAAGCTTCTATCCAGAAAATATAAAAAACTCTTGTAAATCAACAGGAAAAAGACACACAGTTCAACAGAAAAGAAAAAGATTTGAATAGGCACTCACAAGACAGCATCCCCAAATGGCTATTAATAATCTGGGAAGTATAATTTAAAACCACAATGAAATGCCTCTAAGCTCAAAATAATGGATTAAAAGCTAAAAAGGCTGACAGGTAGTGAGTGGCAAGAATGTAGAGCAACTGGAACTCTCAAACTCTGCCAGTAGAGAGTAGGAGATAGGTTGTACTGACAACCACTTTCATGAAAGCAGTAATGTGATATAATCATAGTGTGGTGAGGGGTGGGTAAGGGAGAGGCATTCCTGTGAGGAGCTGTATTTTAAAATCAAAGCAGATGATGGTACCAGGCCAAATTGAAGGGTCTGTTGTGTGGTGGGGTAAAATAAACAAAAAAGGCATTATCCTTCCATTTCTTTTTTAATGAGATCTCACAGTTTTGCTTTCACAGTATCACCTACTATGAATACAGAATGTACTGTAAACTATAAATCAATTCACCCCCAACAAAGTGACCTCTCATTAGAGTCTAACCTCAACAGTGTTGACAACCATCTGCTGCCTTCCTTAACACATTCCACAAAAGGAAAACAGGCATGTGTGCCAAAGTAGGAAGCTGAGACTGCAACTCAGGATTAAAGGCAGTCAAAGGTAACACCCCTTCCCAAAAGTCCATTTCTCTTTCAGAGCTTTCTGTACTTAGTGGAAACATCAGGAAAACAAGAAACTACCTACACACCCTTCTCTTTTTTCCTATTCCACTTGTTTCTTCTAAATCTGGACAGCTGACATTATATCCTGTAACTGAGTTGCCAATTATTGACAAATCAAGAGCCAGCATTCCAGTTGTTTAAACGTCATGAGCCAAACTGCTTTTGCAAGTGAGAAGAATAAGAAAAATATCATTGTAAATCAAAAAGCACTACTAGTTTGAAAGAAATTGTGAGGTTACAAAAGAAATAATGGTTTGGTAATTAGAATCTGGCATGCAGGTACCACCTAAACCTTGTTGTCTTGCTATGTCCCTTTTAGGTTCAGGTGGGCTGATGGAAGAGAACTGCATCTACATCAGAGACATCTAGATTAACACAGTATGTCTAACTCTCTCTTCATGACCCCCAAGGTATCATTCTTGCTTCTTTTTGTTTTTGTTTTTTGGGTCTTTTTGGTTTTTTTGAGACAGAGTCTTGCTGTGTTGCCCAAGGTGGAGTGCAGTGGCATGATCTTGGCTCACTGCAACCTCCACCTCCTGGATTCAAGCGATTCTGCTGCCTCAGCCTCCAGTGTAGCTGGGACTACAGGCACGTGCCACCATGTCCAACTAATTTTTGGTAGAGATGGAGTTTCACCATGTTGGCCAGGCTGGTCTCAAACTCCTGACCTCAAGTGATCTGCCCACCTCAGCCTCCCAAAGTGCTGGGATTACAGGCGTGAGCCATTGCGCCCAGCACCACAGGGTATCATTTAAGATACAGAGACATTGGGAAAAAGGTTGTTCTTATAAACTTTCTATGATAGTTATTAGAGTTAATTCAAATTGACCATTAGATCAATACAGACTGACCATCTCAGCAACTAATACATCTTCTATAAACATTTCCAAGTTTTACCAACCTATATTTTGTAATCTGAATAGAATTTGTTATTAGTTTATCAAATAGATTAGCCAGTGTATACTGTGGCTTCCTCCAGTGCTCAATTTTTTTTTTTTTTTTACCAACTCCAATGGCTTCCCATCTCATTTTAAAATAAAAAATAAACACATTTAAAACTTTACTGAAGAACATAAAAAGGAATGTTGAAAAAAATGAGAAGTTATTCCAGACTGCAAAGACTACTGAAATGATGCCAACTGATCCCAAATGAACTTATAAGAATAAAGAAATTCTAGAAGTAATATCAACAGAATCTTTTTTGTAACCTAAACCCATTTGGAAGAAAAAAACTTGAAAACCACCAAAACATTTTTGTAAAAGAGTATAATGAAAATATACTTGACCCATCATTTGTAAGTAAACATTATAAAGCTACATTAAGGAAAACCATTTGAATCTAGTTCAAAAACAGATTTTTAAAAATCACAAAAACAACAAAGGAATAGCCCCAAAGAAACCATAGTATATAGAAAAATTCAACATATGCTAAAGGTGAATTGAGTCAGTAGACAAAGCAGGGATTTTTTTTTTAAAGTTCCTAATTAACAAATAATTAGCTGAGAATTTAAATCACTATTTACACAGTAATAGATCTTTAATGCACTCTTTAAGTGCACTCCGTGATCCAGCAGCACTTAAGAACCTATGACTTCCTAAGCTACTCTCTTTTGACCCAGTGTCTTTACACTTGATATTAGCTTTTTCAGCAAATTCCCTGTCTTTCCTCAAGATTTAAATGTGCAACTTTAGGCCCCTCCAGAACAAATATAGAATCTGTCTTCTGTATTCCTACAGCACCATGCCCAGCCTGTCATATTGTACTGCAGATACTGGTGTCTACATCTGCCTTCCAGTGACACTGGGAGCTCCTTAAGAGCAAAGAATATATCTGCCGTCTTTCTCTACACCGTCCCCTTGTACAGTGTTGGGTTTCTTTAAATGTCTGTTGAGCAAATGAATGAATATGATCAAGAGAAAACAAGACCCCTACTAATAAGAGTTTTATCTAATTGCTAGTAGCTTCCTATAGTGGGTTGAATAGTGTGTCTAAAAAATTCATGTCTTTTTCTAAAAATGTGAGCCTTACTTGGAAACAGGATCTTTGCAGATGGAATTAAAGTAAGGATTGGGATTACATAATGTTGGATTATGGTAGATCCTAGAACCCATAAGAGTATCCTTATCAGAGACAAAAAAAAAAAAAAAAAAAGGACTGAGACACAGAGAAGGCCCTGTGAAGGGTGGTAATGTGAGCCACTCCCCATCACTCATATTACCACCTGAGCTCCGCCTCTCGTCAGATGAGCAGGAGCAATAGAGTTTCACAAGAGCATGAACCCTATTATGAACTGTGCATGCGAGGGATCTAGGCTGTGTGCTCCTTATGAGAATCTAATGCCTGATGATCTGTCACTGTCTCCTATCACCCCCAGATGGGACCATCTAGTTGCAGGAAAATAAGTTCAGGGTTCCCACTGATTCTACATCATGGTGAGTTGTATAATTATTTCATTATACATTACAATGCAATAACAGAAATAAAGTGGAGAATAAATGTAATGAGCTTGAATCATCCCAAAACCATCCTCTACTCCAGTCCGCAGAAAAACTGTTGTCTATAAAACCAGTCCCAGGTGCTAAAAAGGTTGGGGACTGCTGATTTAGAGGACTACTAGCAGAAAAGACATTAGCACCAGCAGCCTCAACAGTTGTTACCACTGTCCAGTACTGGCACAGAATCCAGCAGTAGCAACAGGAACAAATTGGTCACTCAGCACTTCCCAGACTTAGTATCAACTTTGATAAAGAAAGATTTCTAGCTCTCTTGATTGCCTGGGCTAGTAAGTGCCAATAGCACCCTCAGAGTACAGTAAAGATGTTTTCTAAAGCTCCCTGTTTAACATATATGAGAGTTTGACAAACACTAAATTTAAAGTGTGCAATTTCAATAATATTAAGAAGACCACCTTCCTCACAGTGTTAAGTCCAAGTGAAGAAAATCCTCAAAACCAAAACTTTACAACCTTGGAAAATGATGAGCAAGTAAGGATAGTTATTTGTTTTTACTGAAGGTTCTCCACCTCTTTTCCCTGTCTTTATGCTGTTTCTGACTGATAATCCTCTTTCTGTGTGTTTTAGGGAGCTGTTTCCCCATGTGGGAAAATAACATTTTCTGTGTAAATCTGAAAATAACTATGTCTCTAGTTATAAAGTTCCATTTCTTTGCATCCTCTTTTGAAGCTAAGGCAGAAATAAAAAAAAATTAAGCTATTTATTTCTCTCAAAATAGAATACCTAATTCTCTGTTTAAGTCAACATAGGCTTCAAATCTTGGAGTCCTTTTTTGCAGCGAAGACAGGATCTGCAGAGAAGACAATCACTCTACCATGCTGTTATGGCCTTTTTTTCCCCCTTACACCAACCAATTCTGACATCAACTTTAAAATTCTCCAATCCTCTGAACACCAACTGGGTCTCCAACAATTCAATTCTATTCTGACACTAACTACCCAGAGTTAGTGTCAGACTCCGTAGGTTTAAAAGTCCACAAGATTGCCCTCACTTCAAATGCCAATTGCAAGTATTAGGTCCCCTGGTTACCCACAATGCAGTCCATCTTGGCTACAAATTTGAAGTCTCCACAACCCCCTCCTGAGGTCTGATATTTGGCTAGTACTCACAGAACTCAGGAAAATGCTTTTTCCTTACCATTACAGGCTTATTATAAAAAAAAAAAAGAACTCAGGAACAGCCAAATGGAAAAGATACACAGGGTGGTAAGGTGTGTGGGGGCGGGTGTGTGGGAGACAGTGCTTCTATGCACTCTCCAGGTATGCCAACATCTCAGCACCTCACTGCATTCACCAATCTGGAAGCTCTCCAAATCCTGTTGTTTAGGGGTTTTATGGAGGTTTCATTACATAGGCACAATTGATTATCATTAGCCACTGGTGATCAACTTAATCTCTATCCCCTGTCCTCTCCCCAGAGGTTGGGGAGGTCATGCTGAAAGTTCCAAGCTTCTAATCAAGGCTTGTTCTTCCTGGCAACTAGCCCCCATCCTGAAGCTATCTAGAGGCCCACCAAGAGTAGACTCATTAGAACAAAAGACACTTTTATTACCCTTATGGCTCAGGAAATTCCAAGGGTTTTAAGACCTCTGTGCCAAAACTCAGGGACAAAGACCAGATATCTTTCTGTGATACCACATCTGCCCTTACCATCTCAAATTGTAAAGTTTCTTTCACAATTATTTCTCCTTTTCCAAATATTGATCACATTCCAGGCGCTCATGAAACCACATTACTCTCTTAACTGGTCTCTCTGCATTCATCTGGTTTATCCCCTTTGATATGGTTTGGATTTATGTCCTTGCCCAAATCTCATGTCAAATTGTAATCCACAATGTTAGAGGAAGGGCCTGGTGGCAGGCGACTGGATCATCGGGCGGATTTCCCCCTTGCTGTTCTCATGATAGTGAGTTCTCAGGAGATCTGGTTGTTTAAAAGGGTGTAGCACCCCCGCTTCGCCCTCTTCCTCCTGGCGCCAGCCATGTAGGACGTGCCTGCTTCCCCTTTGTTTTCCTTCCACCATGACTGTAAGTTTCCTGAGGCCTCCCCAGCCATGTTTCCTGTACGGCCTGCAGAACTGTAAGCCAATTAAATTTCGTTTCTTTATAAATTACCCCATCTCAGTTAGTTCTTTATAGCAATGCAAGAATGGACTAATACACCCTTCCAACACATCCTACACATTCTGTCAAAGTGAAACTCGTAAGACCACTACCAACATGTCATCTCTCTGCTCAAAACCCTTCCCAAGAAAATCAGAGTCATTGGGAAAGACAGGTAAGAGGTCAGGAAACACTTAATTCAACCTGCTATTAAATGGATGAGATAATTGAGGCCAAGAGACCAAGGCCAAATTACAGTAACTTGCCTAAGAAAGTATGGCAAATAAGTGGCAGAGCCAAAACTAGAAATCAGGTCCCCTAATTACTATTCCAATACTCAGGATGAACAAAGCAAATAAATATAAAAGTCACAACAACCTCTATGGAAAAACTGATATATGTTAGCCTCCCTAAGGAAAAGTATATTCATAGTGTGGGGATTAGAAGGAGGTTCACTAATCTCCATTCAGTAATAAACATTTACTGAACACTGAAAATCTGTGAGGTGTGACTTTCAAGGAATTCACAGTATTACAGCAAAAGGCATGAAAACAAATAGTTATAATGTAGTTCTATAACAGATGTATGCACACGGCAAAGAAAAAATACCTAATACAGCCAGTGAAGGCATTATAAAGACTTCCTATAGGAACTTACTCTTTGGAGTCTTGAATAATGAATGCAACAGATAACACAGCAAAGAAAGAAAGACTAGGGTAGTAACAATAATAAGGGCAAGCAGTTATGACAGACTAAAGCTTTAATTCCATTTTTCAGTGTGGCTGAAGAGTAGCACAGATGTGAGGAAGTATGTGAAGATGAGAAAAGAAGGCAAGAACTGGATTATATGAAGTGCTTTATTTGCCATTTTCATTCTATCAATGAAGAGAAGCACTACGACCAGAGTGGGATTTTAGAAAGATCACTCTGTCAACAGCACAGAAGCTTAACTAAAGGAAATAAGGTTGAATACTGAAAAACTGAGTAGGTAGGCTCTTCCAGTAATCCAAACTGAGACTTAAGCAATGGTAGTGTTATAAAAAGTTAAGAGAAAGATTTAAGAGAAATTTGCTTATGTACATTGTAAAGAATGCAGACTTTAGAAAGTTTAAGACCTAAATTCAAATCCCCTAGTCACTGTCTATGAGCTTTGCAACTTAGAACAAATCATTTAACAGGAGGCTGAGGCAGGAGAATCGCTTGAACCCAGGAGGCGGGGGTTGCAGTGAGCCGACATTGCGCCACTGCACTCCAGCCTGGATGACAAAGCAAGACTCCATCTCAAAAAAAAAAAAAAAAAAAAAAAAATCACTTAACCTTGTTAAGCCTATTTCCAAATCTCTATTATGAAACTGTAAAATTGGAGACACCATCTAAACACGGTAGCTGCTGAAAGAATTTAATAAGATTCATGAAAATCATCGAACACATAGAACCAGATATTAAATATGTACTTGAAAAACATTACTTCTCTTCCCCATTTCTTCTCCCCCTAGAGCCAATTAGGTAAGAGTATAGTAATTGTAGGATGGCTTCCAGATATGCGACTGGTCTATTTGGGTAGATCAAGGCACCATTACCAAGGAATAATCTAAAGAGGAAAAAAGGAACAATTTTGTGGTACACTGCATTTAAAATAATCTGTGGGACATCAAGGTTGATACAGGGAAGACTGCAAGGCTTAGGAGGGAAGTCTGGGCACAAAAGTAGCTGGCTATGATCTTGGGAATATTTCTCTAAAACACACTGTTCATTTGTAAAGTGAGGAAAATACCACCTATCTCATCTATTTCACAAAACAGAAATAGGATGTACATAAATACTCTCTCTGTATGTAGTTTTTTGGGGATTTTGTGTGTGTGTGTTTTTGTTTTTTGTTTCTGTTTTTTTTTTTTTTTTTTTAGACAGGGTCTCATTCTGTTGTCCAGGCTGGAGTGCAGTGATGTGATCATAGCTCACTTTAACTTTGAACTCCTGGGCTCAGGCAATCCTCCCACCTCAGCCTCCCAAAGTGCTGGGTATAATAGCATGAGTCACCATGCCCAGCCATGTTTTGTAAACTGTAAAACATTCTAAAATCATGGAGTAGCATTATTAAACTGTAGGAAACAAAATAATAAATAAGTATTGAACATATATTCAATAATCTCTTACAAATGGTAATGTTAGGGACAAAAATTGGACCAAAATAGTAAGTTGCACTGTCCTAATATTACAGTTTATTCTTTGTGGAGATTTTGTCCCCAGCTTTTTAAAAAAATTTCCATCTAGAGAAAACTTGAAAGAAAAGTACAATGAACATCAATGTACCTTTCACATGGATTCAATAATTGTTAATACTCTGACAAGTTTACTTTCATCCTTTCTGGCCAAATACATATACCATTTCTTTCACATTTGAAGGTAAATTGCAACCTTATAAACATACACAATTATTATGTGTCAATTAAAAATAAAACAATTTTAAAAGAAAGTAAATTGCAAGCATTATGACACTCTGTCCCAGCATTTAATCTTAAGAATAAGGATATTCTCTTTATAACCACAATATCATTATCAAAGTCAAAAAAATTAATATTGACTCTATATTGCAACTACAAAATAGTACATATTTGAATTCTTCCAACTCTTCCAATTGTCTCTTACAAGTGTATGTTATGTTTCTTTTTTTTTTTTTTTTTTTTTTTTGAGATGGAGTCTTGCTCTGTCGCCCAGGCTGGAGTGCAGTGGTGTGATCTCGGCTCACTGCAAGCTCTGCATCCCAGGTTCACGCCATTCTCCTGCCTCAGCCTCCCGAGTAGCTGGGACTACAGGCACCCGCCACCATGCCCAGCTAATTTTTTGTATTTTTAGTAAAGATGGGTTTCACTGTGTTAGCCAGGATGGTCTTGATCTCCTGACCTCGTGATCTGCCCATCTTGGCCTCCCAAAGTGCTGGGATTACAGGCGTGAGCCACCGTGCCCGGCCATATGTTATGTTTCTTGTTCTTGTTTTGGATCTAGATCTACTTGGGGATCACGCATTGTTGTATTTAGTTGTCTTTTCTCTTGGTCTTCTTGAATCTGGAACAACTTCCCCACCTTTTTGTTTGCTTTACATGCCACTAACAATTTTAAACTATTTTATAGAATAACCTCCAATTTCGACGTGCCTGGTTGCTTCCTCATGATTAGATTCAGTTAAATATTTTTGGCAAGAATACTACATAAGGGATTTCTTTCTTTACAAATATTTTTAAATGTTGATTTGAATATGGATTATATGTTTTCTACAAAAAGAGTAAAACGCTAGTCAAGTAACTTCTATTGTATAAACTCAAAGACAACAATTGAAGGATAATTACTAGATCTAACATTGACCTATAAAGTTTGTACCAAATACATACCCAATCTGGAAAGTAAATTCAGACCTCAACTTTATGAAAATAGTAAAAGATAGGGTTGGGAAAGGGGAAGCTCCTTTTTTTTTTTTTTGAGACAGAGTCTCACTCTGTCACCCAGGCTGGAGTGCAGTGGCGTGACCTCAGCTCACTGCAACCTCTGCCTCCTGAGTTCAAGTGATTCTCCTGCCTCAGCCTCCTGAGCAGCTGGGACTACAGGCGTGTGACACCATGCCCAGCTAATTTTTTGTATTTTTAGCAGAGACGGGGTTTCACCGTGTTAGCCAGGATGGTCTCCATCTCCTGACCTTGTGATCGGCCCGCCTCGGCCTCCCAAAGTGCTGGGATTACAGGCGTGAGCCACCGCGCCTGGCTGGATGCTCCTTTATACAATGTGTCCCTTAAAAACATAAAGCACCTCTATCATCCCTTAAAAAAAAATCAAATCATAAAGGCATGCACAGCTTTTTAAACATATTTTGGTATATCACAACAGGATGGTTTTATGGGCTGAACCATCTGGGGTAAAGCCTGCAGATACCATCAGATGGTGGATGTTTCTTTAAAAAATAAAATAAAATGAAGAATCTATACTTGAGGATATTCATCAACTGATATTTTCAAAGCTCTGAATTGTTTAACAAAAAATTTTATCCTATGAAACTCATGTAAACTATAGTATTAACATATATTACATTAACTTATAATTTTACATGTTAATATAAAATTTTACATTACTTTTAATTTTACATGTTAATGTAAATATAATTTTACATGTTAATGTAAAATTGTAAATTACAAATATATAATTATATATAAATATAAGCTATGTTTTGTTATATATATAATTTTACATTAACATAATTTTACATGTAGAATTATAAATTAAAAATATATATATTTTATATAATTATAAAAATTAAATTATAAATTATAAATACACATTATTCTGCAATTTCTATAGAAAATATCTGTGACAACCAGCTGCTCCCACAGATGTTACTGGGTTTTGCAAATATAAACATTCTAAATAATGTAATTTTCTCTCAGAGAAATAACATGCAGAGGATTTTATTTTGAAAACTCCTTAAATGTGATAACTATAAAGAACACATCACTATTACTATCAGATTTAGTAATAACTCTTTCAAAATTGTAACAATAAAAGTATCCAAATCAGATTCAAATTCAACTCTGGCCAATCCATCAGATGGTGTTCTTTATACACTAACACTGGAAGCTGAATATATGTTTCCAGTATTCACTACCAAATTATAAACCCCTAAGATCAATGTTTGTGACAAAAACACAAGGGGGAAAATATCCAACTTAACTGTGCTACCAGGCACACCTATGACCTCAGGTACTGCTTTTTTTGATGTGATCAGAGCACAAAGAATTCTACTGCAAGAAGCAGAGAAGTTTTCTTCATAAAAATAAATATATGTTTATTATATTTATTACCCTGCTGCTTGCTTAATGACTGCATATTTTGTTGGCAACTGTGCAAGAAAAGCAGAAAAAAAAAGGAGTTCATTTCATTTCTACTATTATTTTTACAAACAAGAAAAAAATCAAGCTACTGCCTACTTATGAGATGCATTTGGTTGCATTAGTTTACAATGACCCCAACACCAAGCAAATGGTCACACACTCCAAGTTCACATACTCCCGCTAAAAATTCACAATATTTGTTTGATATGCAAAGAAGTCTGGTATTAATAGACTTTAGTCGCATTTCATATTTATAAATTACTATTTCTCCAGGTGCTTTATTCAACCAGAATTTCATAAGGCCATGATCACTAATAATAGCCTGACAAGAGAAAAAGATGTCAGTAAGTAAAAGCAATAAAGAAAGGGCCTAAATACTGTTGATCAGATTTTGCTAATTCTAACATTTTATGCTTTCACAGGAAGCAAGAGTGAGGTGTTCTACACAAGGAGACTTATGACCTGTCAGGTCCTTATAATACTTGTATCAAGATGGCTAACGAACCTGTTTAATCTTCAATACCAGAAAACAGTTGGACAAAAACTAGTAATTGAAAAAGAAGAAAGAAAAATATCTGGACATGCCACACTGAAAACAAATACATTACAAATCACATTCTACTACAGCCATCCCAAGATACTTGAACAAGAATAAAAGAAAAAGAATTTCAAAAAGCTAAGGCTTTTCAAATTTAATCAACTTCCAAACATACAAAGCCTAGATCCTGACTGCTTATACTTCAATACTATGAACAAACCCATTCCTCAAAGCCATAGCATAATATCTCTGTAAATCTAACTGATGTTCAATAAGGGACAAGGCAATTTAATAAGGAAGGAATAAGCTTTTCAAAACTGGTGCTAAAACAAGTGAGTATCCATTTGGCAGAAAAAAATAAAATAAAAAAACTTCAAACCTACACTCACACCATACACAAAAATTACCTCAAAATGTATCATATACCTTAACATAAAAGCTAAAAACTGTAAAATTTCTAGAAGAAAACATAGGAAAAAATCTTTATGGCCTTGGTTAAGGAAAGGATTTCCCACAGAGGATACGAAAGCATAAACAATAAAATAATTCATAAATTGAATTTTATTCAAGTTAAAACCTTTGACTGTCAAAAGACCCCACTAAGAAAATGAAATGGCCGGCCACATACCAAAAATGTGTTTATTCTACAAATACGTGACAAAAGACTAGTACCCACAATATATAAAGAACTTCTATAACTCAATAATAAGAAGAAAATCCAAATATAATGCACAAAAGATTTTAATAGATACTTCACCAAAGGAAAAAAATAGATGGCCAATAAGAACACAGGAAGATTTATAAGGAATCTTTCTGTGACAATGGAAATGTTCTATACACTGCTAAAGGTATTAAATACACAGACATATAGAACTGTCAAAATACATCTAACTATATACTTTAGATTTATGTATTTCACTTTATAAACACTATAACTAATAAAAGTATTCCATAATGCCTAGTGTTAGCAAAGACCACACTGTTATCTATAAATTGGTATACTTCTCAGGCCCAATCAGGCAATTGATATCAAATTTGACTAAGCAATTTCACTTTTAGGAATTTATCCCAAGAAAATTGTCAGACAAGTAAATATAAGGGTATTTATTACATCATTGTTTTACTTATGGTAAAGAAAAATTACAGAGCCTAAATTTATATTAATAGATGATTAATTAAATAAATTATATCCTATAATGAAATACCACTCGGTCAAGAAAAAAATGATCATATGGGTTACTGAAGTTAAGACTGGTACTGATGCCACATACTACTGAGTCTGGAAGTCCATCAGGACCCAGCCACTTCACACATGAATGCTATTATTTGATAAAAATAGTTAATAGTGAACACAAACTGTAAGAGTGGTAACAGTAATCTTACATCCCAACTATAGCACTACTATGGCCAAAGATGTGGCGCAGCAATGGCTCCACTACAGCAGTAAGAAAAAGATTTAAAAGAAGTTTCAACAACAGCACATGATAACGAATGAAAAAGATCCTTGCTGATGACTGATTCCTAAATGCCCTTGACACATATATATAAAATTTTGTCTTCAACATTTACGTATTTTCTCTCATCTATAGGCTTCAAAATTTTTAAGATATTTGTGACCCAAAAGAGTTTAAGAAAAATTGGTATGTATGTACACATGCTTATATATAGATCCCAGGAAGAAAAAAAAGACTAGAAGGAAACATACCAAAGTGCCAAAAGTTGTAGTGTAAGATGGTGACTTTCTCCTTTGTGTTTCCATATAGTTTTAAATTTTTCAATAATATCCATGTATATTCATGCATTAAAACAAAATACATTGAAAAAATAATTAATATTAGTAAACTCAGAAGAAATACAGGATAAACCAAGCTTTTTTTTCCCTTTCTTTCTTTGCCTTTAGGGTTGTAGCAAAAAGGAAGATAAAGGCCTAGGCCTTTGACTAGCAAAGAAAAGAAAGATATGAAGTTATCTGAAAAACAACATTTTGAAGTAGCCAATCTGTTAACATGGCAAGAAATGAAGATAATTGTAAAAAATAAAAAGCCAGATAGTAAAATTTTTTTTAAGTTATTAAGGTAAAAAGAAAAACCCACATATGGGGCATAAAATTTTAAGGAGATCAATTAAAAGCATGGCCTGAATAAATTAATGATTCCAAAACTTCACTTTAACCATCAGTTTGTTTCCTTTCCATAAACCTTCATACCAGTTGCTAAGCAATAGCTGCCTAAGTGCTGGACTGTTATACTTCCTGACTAAGAATGCTGGATCATTACATTTCCAAACTAAGAGTTTTGGACTCTGTTACACTTCCTGACTGACCAGGAATGCAAGGGCCTCATTATACTTTCTAACTTACTTGGAATTCTGAACTTTATTTCTCCTTACTGAACAAAAACTTTAAGACTCTGTTATACTGTAAGTATATTAAGAGTCATTACCCTAAGCAGGAGTGTTGGATCCTCACTAACTAGGAGTACTGACCCTTTCATGTTGACTAACTAAAACCAATACTTTCATTCTCATGTAAAAACTCTAGATTTTGAGTTCCTAGGTTGATGCAGCCCAAATGGTGTAAGGGAGGTAGGTAGATACCAAGAAAAAGAGTCAAGGGTCTGGGTAATTATTTCCTTGAAACAATAATTAGCTTTTAGCTTGCCATTTGAGGTCTATATTAAGAGAAAACCATTTTGTAATCCAAACCAGTATAATTTTAGATCATTCTTAAGCATATATTTTAATACTACATGCATTACTGAAAAAATCATTTTTGGATTATGAATTATCAAACTAAAATATTCTTGCCACACACAAAATTCTTGTCTACAAAGTCCTATAAAACCAGACCCCTACCTCTGCTTGGTCTTCTCCTCTAGGCACACTCCTTTGCTCACTATATTCTAGCCACATTAGATTTCTATCTCTTTTTCCAACACATTTGCTCTCACCTCAGGGCCTTTGTGTTTGCTTTTCCTTCTGTTTTCACCTGGCTGGCTCCTCGTTCTCACATTTCAGCTAAAATGCTACCCCATAAAATAACCCTACCTGACTCTACAATATAAAATAACCCCCTCTATATCTTTAGTCATGCTATTCTATTATTCTATTTGGTTTTCTTCGTGGCATTTATCATATTATAAAATTACACTGTATATTTATAAATTTACTTCTGCAGATTATCTGACTCCCATCTACTCAAAAATATAAAATCCAATAAGACTGTGGATTTTCTTTGTCTTGTTCACTGCCACATCCCCTGTGCCTAAAACAGTGCTAGCACACAGTAAGGGACTCAACATAATATTTGAATTCATTCATAATAAGAGAATGAGATAAATTCATTTTGGAATTATTTACTAGCTTTATAAAATATCACAGCAGGTGATGGAAATAGAGATGTTATCGAATGCCAATTACCTTTGTCTAAAACCAAAACCTAAATTTGCTACTTCAACATTCTACTAGTGATCACAACTGATATTTTTTTAATATTGAGGGCCGTGTGTCACATATGTGATAAGAGGGTTTGCCTATGGTTTCCGACCTAATTCTTTTTCTTCATTTTATGGATATATAATAGCCGTATATATTTATGGAGTACATGGGATATTTTGATACAAGCATACAATGTACAATGATAAAATCTGGGTAATTGGGATAACCATCACCTCAAACATTTATCATTTATTTGTGTTGGGGACACTCCAAATCTAGCTATTTAAAAATATACAATAAATTATTGTTAATCATAGTCAGTCTATTGTGCTACAGAACATCAGAACTTATTCCTTCTATCTACTTTTGTACACATAAACCAACCTCTCTTCATCCCCCGCTCCCTACCACCCTTCCAGCCTCTGGTTACCACCATTCTGTTCACTACCTCAATGAGATCAACCTTTTTAAGCTCTCACATATAAGAACATACAATATTTGTCTTTCTGTGCCTGATGTTTTATTTAACATAATGTCCTCCCGTTCTACCCATGTTGCTGTAAATAATAGGATTTCATTCTTTTTATGGCTGAATGATATTCCATTGTGTGTGTGTGTGTATTGCATTTTCTTTAATTCATTCATCCTTTGATGAACACTTAGGTTGATTCCATATCTTGGCTACTGTGAACAGTACTGCAATAAGCATAGGGGTGCAGATATCACTTCAAAATACTGATTTCCCATATTTTGAATATATACCCAGCTGTGAGAATTGCTGGGTATATGGCAGCTCTTTTAATTTTTTGAGGAACCTCCATACTGTTTTCCATAATGGCTGTACTAATTTACATTCCCACCAACAGGGTTCAAGTGTTCCCCTTTCTCTGCATCCACCAGCATTTGTCATTTTCTGTCTTTTTTATAGTAGCCACTTTAACCAGGGTGAGATGATATCTCATTATGGTTTTGGTTAGCATTTCCCTGATGATTAGTGATGCTTAGCATTTTTTCATGTACCTGTTGACCATCTGTATGTCATCTTTTGAGAAATGTCTATTCAGATCATTTGCCCATTTTTTAAATCATAGTATTTGTTTTTCTGCAGTTGAGTTGAATTCCTTATATAGCCTGGTTTTTAATCCCGTCAGGTGAATAGTTTGCAGATATTTTCTCCCATTCTACAGGCTGTCAATCACAACTGATTTTTAAGATGCTTTGAAACAAACATGGCTACAGGGAGAAATATGTGTACGTGGCAGATACTTAGATATTCACTTTTTCTTGCTAAACCTGTACATAATTCCATAAACTTAATATATTGCTTGAGGCAGACACTATCAATGGCCTTTGCGCACAGCAAAATATAACTGAACAGAATTGGCTTAAGTGTTAAAACTGTTTGTCATATCTAGTATACCGGAATCTGAATCTAGAGTCTGAAGACCTGGGCTTCGAGTTTTCATCCCACAGCAGTGTCAACATAATGATGGAGCCAAGAAACTGATTCGGGAAAAATGAATACAAAGAATCTGGAAGATAATGTGAAGGTAGCAGTATCAATAAATTAGAGATGCTACTGTGCTTCAAGTATTTTCCAAGTCACGTTATGGGTATGAGATGGTGTGAGAAAAGAGAGGTACCTGAAAATAAGATTATAAAGGGGCTGTCAGTGATTGGTAATCATAAAGTTATGGTCAAGATTATAGCAGAGGGTGCCCTGAGCAAGATAAATGTTTGAAAGGCTGTGTGGAAGAAAAGATTTTAAGTACCAAGGAACAGCGATTCCAAATAAAGGTTCAATAAAAGAAAAATAAAGGTTTAATAAAATAAAAGGTACAGAAATGTAAAATGTGGTGGGACTTCCAGCTAACTTAAGTCAACACTGACTGCTTACTATCTGTCATCCAATATCTCCATCTGTCTCAGTTATCAATTTATTGACTCTCAGATCCAAAAGCATCCTTCAATTATGTTCTGTGATTTAAGAAAAAAAAGAAAAATCTCTTTAGATATCTCTCTCCTTTAAAGTAAGCATGATATTAACCTTTCTCTGTAAAAGGCACTGGAAGGACACTGCAGAAGGAAGATGTACGCCTGCAGTTTCTGGCTGCAACTTGGGAACCAGCAATATGAGCGTAAGGATACCCAGTATTCTCAGCCATGGGTCCAGAACACTCTCTCTCTGCAACCTTGCAGTCTTAGCCTACCAATAACCTTTCCATGGCCTTCTCAACATGCAAACGAGTGTTCAAAGGCCTCCTGTCCACCCACTAGGACTCTGACTTCCTCTGTAAAACCTTGTACACAGCCTGCCTGTGGTTAGAGGGTTCGCACCAGGCTGCTGCTCCTGCAAATTGCCCACCACCATGTACAGTCTGTCCATGCACAGAGGGACCCCACACTCTTTGCAAGCCCACTGTGTACCCACTCTTCTGCTTGCTGATTTGCTCCCCCACCTGCACAGAAGATGCTAACTGCTTGTCCAGTGACTACGAACCAGCCCTAGCCTGGTGTAGCCAAACCAGTAAGCATCTTTTCTATTCAGTAGGCTGAACTACATCTTCAACAATATGTGAATCCCTTCTAAGTTTGCCCTTCCTTGGGACAATTTCTTGGGAGAAATTTCCTGGGAGAAATAAACCTCAAACGAAACCTAACTCAAAATTATACTCAAACTCTTAGCATAAATAAAGGAAGACTCGTGGCCAGGCGTGGTGGCTCATGCCTGTAATCCCTGCACTTTGGGAGGTCAAGACGGGTGGATCACCTGAGGTCAGGAGTTCGAGAACAACCTGGCCAACATGAGGAAACCCCGTCTCTACTAAAAATACAAAAAATTAGCTGGGCGTGGTGGGGCACGCCTGTAATCCCAGCTACTCAGGAGGCTGAGGTAGGAGAATCACTTGAACCCAGGAGATGGAGGTTGCAGTGAGCCAAGATTGTGCCACTACTGCATTCCAGCCTGGGCAACAAGAACAAAAGTGAGAAAGGAAAAGAAACGAAAAAGGAAAGAAAGGGAGACTCGTTTCCAGGCATAAAATCTATTTGCCTTTGTCTATACTATGCTACATACGATGTACAGCTTTCAATAAAAATTACAATGCATACAAAAAAAAAAAAGAAAAGAAAAAGTACATTTGCAAGTGACAAGCTGTCATCAGAAACAGACTCATGCATGAGGGGGCCCAGGCTCATGCAGCTGAAGCATGCTTTTGCCGCCCAGGAGACGTCAGGCCCGGCCACCTCCAGGTCCCCGCCATCCCTGCCATCCCGCCCCTTCGCGTCCTGGGAACCAGCTCGCTTCCGAGCCGCACGCATCGAGCCTCCAGGCATGCCCCGCTATAAGCTGGCTTTAATCCTGAAAGCCATGCCGCGGCCAGACTGCTGCTGCTTTGAAACATACGATAGAGGTTCTGATGGAAAAAGGAGCAATAGTGAGGAACTTGGAAAACCTGGGTGAGTGAGCGCTTCCTTGTAAGATCTCCACCCACAATCAGTGGCACAACAGAGGCGGGTATTTCCTGGTGAATTTTTATGCACCAACCACAACTGTTGAAAGCATGATGGAGCACTTCTCCAAACGTAGATGTGATTAGACCGAATATTGTCAAACACCCTCTGACCCAGGAACTAAAAGAATGTGAAGGGATTGTCCCAATCCCACTTAAAGGAAAATTATATTACACAAAGAAGAGGAAGAAGTGAGAAGATTCACCAGGAATTAGCCTTATATTTAATCCCTTCATATTTGAGCAGCATGGATGAGAAGAAATAGTTTACAAGCTTGGCCTTTTATATATAAGAGTGTATTGCAGGTGCTGTTTGATTTTTCTGAGATATTTTTAGCCCTTGATCCCCTTTGCTGCAAGAGGTGAGGAACTGCTCACTGACAGCTTCTCTGTAATCTGTGATACAAGCGGATCATTCTTGATTTTGTTTTCATTTCTTTGTCAGTGAGGACTTTTCCCCTTACAACAGTAACACCATTCTGAAGAGCAAAACTTGTAATACCACCTGGGATTGTGAGTTAGTCATTCAGACTGCATAATCATGCAGAAATAAAAATTGAAGACTAATGTATTAATTATATGGGCAATTTTGGCTTTGATAATAAACGTGATTTTAGAAATTAAAAAAAAACAGACTGAGATAGGACACAGATGTTAGAACAGGAAATTTTAGATGACTATGATTAATATGCTAAAGGCTCAAATAGAAAAACAGACAATACCTAAGCCAGATGGGTAATTACAGCAAAAAAAGATAAACTATGCCTGAAATTAAAAAAAAAAAAAAAACAGTAACAGAGATGAAGAATGTCCACAACAGTCTCATCAGTAGAACTGACACAGTCAAGGAAAGAATAAGTGAAATTGAAGATAGATCTATAGAAATTACTAGAGCTACAGAAATTACTCAAACTGAAACACACTGAAAAGAACAAACAAAAGCTGTAGAACAAAAAACAAACTATTTAATATATGCATAGTCAGAATCTTAGAAAGAGGAGAGAGAAAGAAAAGAAAAAATTAATCATGAATTTTCAAAACCAACTAGAGGGAGCTGGTGGGCTCACAACATTGTGAATACACTAAATATCCCTGAATTGTATGTTTTAAAATGGTTAACTGTATATTATATAAATTTCTCCTCAATAAAAAAGAAAAATATTTCAAAATCACAGATCCAAGAGCACCAACAGCACCCAAGGCTGTAAGGCTTTAGAAACACACAAACAAATGCACACATATACACACACACACACACACCCCTCTAGGCATATCATATTCAAACTATGAAAAACAAACACAAAGAAACATCTTAAAAAAGGCTGTCAACACAGAATTCCATATCCAGTGAAAGCATCTTTCAAAAATGAAGAAATAAAAACTTCCCCAAACAAAAAACTGAGAATTTATTGCCAACAAATGTACTCTACAAGAAATGCTAAAGTAGTTCACCCAGAAAGAATATGCCAGACAAAAACTTAAACTTATACCAAAAAATAATTTAAAAAAAACAATGGAAATAAAACAAATGATAATTAAATTAACTTTCCCCCCACATTTAATTGCTCAAACAGATAACTGACTACCAGAAGTAAAAACAGTAGCAAAATATTATGTTCCTGGCATATGCAAAAGTAAATTGCATGACAAAAATAATACCAAAAAAGTGCGAGAAGAATTGGAAATACAATGCCGTATAGGGCTGTTAAATGAAGCAGTATTATTACCTAACTGTAGAATCTGTCTGATTATATTGTGAAACCTAGGATAACTACTAAAAATAATTTTAAGAGGTATAATTATGTCAATGGAGAATAAAAAATTCATTGGCAAAAGTTTAATAAGAAACAGGATATTTGCATAGTCTCAAAATATTTCCCACAAGATACTTACTAATTACAAAGGGAAGCATGGTAACTCTCCATTGGAGAAAACTGGGAGACGCTATCTTAACCACATGTCAAAGTTAACAGCACCAGTAATAACACATATTGACATCATATACCTCCTGTTACACTATGAAAAATAAAAAATCACACCTGTGATATTCTTTCCAAGAATGCATAAACTCACTCTCTCATGAAAAAACATCAGACAAACCCAAACTGAGGAACATGCTCCAAAATACCTGATCAGTAATCTCTCAAAGTGTCAAGGTCATGGAACAAGGAATGGCTGAAGAATCAGCACAAGTTGGGAGAGGCTACAGAGACGTGAAAACTAAATGTATTGTAGACATTAAATGTGATCTTGAACCAGAAAAAGCACACTAGTAGAAAATCTAGTAATAGTCAGATAAGGTCAGTAGTTTAGTCAATAATATTGTACTAAGCCAGGCGCAGTGGCTCATGCCTATAATCCCAGAACTTTGGGAGGCCAGGGTGGGTGGATCACAAGGTCAGGAGTTCGAGACTAGCCTGGCCAATATGGTGAAACCCCGCCTCTACTAAAAATACACACACAAAAAAAAATTATCCAGGAGTGGTGGCACATGCCTGTAATCCCAGCTACTCAGGAGGCTGAGGCAGGAGAATCGCTTGAACCCGGGAAGTGGAGGTTGCAGTGAGCCAAGATCACAGCACTGCACTATAGCCTAGGCGACAGAGTGAGACTCCGTCTCAAAAAAAAAAAAAAGAAAAAAGAAAATTACCAGTAGCACTATGCCAATTGTTGTGTACTGTATTTATAAGATGTTAACATTAGCAGAAGTTTGAAAAAGGGTATTTAGAGCTCTACACTATTTTGCAATTTTTCTGTAGTTCCTTTACATTTTTAGATATCCTTGCATTCTAAACACACTGCTATCACTCATTATACATTTTAAAATATTAATCCTCTGTGCAGTAAATCAATTACTAAGAAAAAAATAAGTCCCAAAATTCAAGCATAGAATTTGTGAGAGTGCTATTGGACTTGCCACACTCCTAAAATATAGACTATATTTTAGTCTATACAGACTATATAGACTATAGTGTACTATACAGAATGACTGACTATATAGGCTACTAACCTCTAGACTATATAGACTACTAACCTCTAGAACTATACGTCAGTTTTGGCATAAGTAAAACATAATAAATATCCTTGTAAAAAAAAGAGTCAAAATGCCAACATGTTGGTAACAACATAGCATTACATTAGAGCTACTTAAATATCTTCAAAGACATCTACACAGCCACTAGTCATGGCTTTATTAAAGGTATCATATAATGCATTTCCCCTGCTATATCTATGAATCAAAGTGTACATTTATCAATACAGCTCTTCCTTACACACCCTAGCTGGAAATCATTTAAATCCTTTCAACAATACACATTCTCTTTAAATGCAGAATTGTGTGTGTGAGGGAAAGAGGCAACAAAATAGTGTCAGGTGTCCCTACTGAAAGAATAGTCTGTTAAGGAATAAAAGGGATAAAACTTCGGGTCAGCTTTAAAGGAAAGATGAAATTTGGATAGTTCCTGAAGGGTTAGGAGCTACGAAAAAAAAAAAAAAATTGAATGGTCAACAAGAAATAGAGGAAAACATCCAAGGGAGATCTATAATAGCAAAAAACTTAGAGGTAGAAATACATACGGCATGTCTGAGAATATAGGCTAACTAGCTGGATTACGAAGCTATACATACTCCAGGAGTTATGGAAACTCATTCATGATGAAGAGGAGGGGTTAAATGCTAGAACTTTCAACATTAAGCTAAAGAGGAAAGCCCAAATCCAGTAACAGAGGCCTTTAAAGAACAATTCCATTATTCAGTTTCCTGTAACTAAAGCAGATGTATGTACACAAAGATTAATCTCAGAAAACCTTGGAATCTGAAGAATTATATTTACCACATAGATAAATTTTAAACTTGGCTTTTTAAGATATAGAGCAAGTATGTGTTTGAGAGAAACTGAGTACATGCACAAGAGATGAAGTATTTAGATGAGCATAATATAAAAATATAAAATATTAAAAAATAACTAAAGCATCAAATTAAATCAAATCCAAAAACATCTTATTAAAAGATAAAAAAATGAGTACCTGGCAGGTATAAGTAGGAAACAGAAATTTTGTACATGAACACTTTAATTAATATTTTACTTAAAGATAGAGAAGTATAACTAGAAATTTTAAGAAATTATATTATCATTAAATAGCAAATTTTTAAAAAACTGACAGTATGAACAGGAATTTTAACTGTCATATTATTTTTTCTTTTCCAAGTACACACTGATTTATGTCAGCTGATTTTTGAAACTAGCAAGAAGAATTGCCAAGGCATCATATTTACAGGTGTGCTAAACCACTGACTTTGCTACAATGATATTTTGTTTAAACTTCCAGTAATAGAAATTAAATCAAGCTAAATTGTAGGTTAGTAAGCTTTAAAAAATATCAGTACACAGTGCATCTGATTGATATGAACAATCCTAAAAATGGAGCAATTTACATTTTTTTTTTTTTTTTTTTGAGACAGTCTCACTCTGTCACCCAGGCTGTCATGCAATGGTGCGATCTCAGCTCACTACAACTTCTGCTTTCCAGGTTCAAGTGATCCTCCTATCTCAGCCTCCTGAGTAGCTGGGACCACAGGCATGCGCCACCAAGCGGGGCTAATTTTTGTATTTTTTGGTAGAGACGAGGTTTTGCCTTGTTGACCAGGCTGGTCTCAAACTAAGTGACCCACTCGCATTGGCTTCCCAAAGTGCTGGGCCTATAGGCGTGAGCCACTGCACCAAGTCTAAATTTTTATTTTCTTTTAAATATCCAAGTCGTTAAGCAGCATATGCTACTTCTTTCAGAATTAGCATGAAGCCTCTAAATTGGTTTTCCCGCTGTGAGCTGAATCCCTATTTCATTTAGTTTATTTTCTAAAACATATATTTATACTGCCAATTTACATAAGTAGTACTAGATATCAAAAAACAGTACATATTAGCCACATTTCCAAATTGCATTCAACCATGGGCACCAGCGTGTTCTGCTAGATGATTAACACAGCACATTTTTACTGGGTCCTAAAGCCTCTGAACTGTTGTCTACCATAGATTTTATAAAACAGATGTTTCTTTCATGCAATAAAGTAATTCTAGAACTAGATTATAGGAAAAGTGATACAACAGGTAGAGCAAGATCCAATGTAAAAATAAGCAGAAGGTAAAATTGCCATCAAGAAAAACTGTGAACCTCAAAAGGTTTCAATTTGATCAGGTAAACCAATGTGAGTTTAGTGAACTGAAAATTTCATGTTTCTAAAAACTGAGATTTTCCTCGGAAAGGTAAAAAAAAAAAATTCTTTCATAACTATTTAATTATAGTTTAGCAGTGTTTTATCACCCCAAGTTTTCTCCTGAGAATCAGAACCGATAAAAACTTTCAAATAGGTTAGGCTATATAATGAGCTTTCCTTATATAGAATGGCACAACCAAATATAAACAGGAAAGAAAAAAAGATTTGTATGACATGCTTAGAAAAAAAATGCAAAGAAAAGATTCATGAAAAGTATTTCTCAAAAAAAGCCACAATAGGTAGAAATCATGTAATTTTACTAGTTAGATATCAAAACTAACCCTTTCTTATTCCTTGGGTGTCTGGGTTGTCCCGCTCTTTCCTCAAACCTTATGTTTGCCAGACAAGAAAAAGTAATATCAGTAAGAGTCAGAAGTCTTAACAGCAAAGACGTTCAAATATCCAAACAATAGAGAAAGAACAGACCTAAAAGTAAGCTTGCTAATAACTCAATCAGTCAAGTATTCATTAGGCAATTACTATATGTCACAGACAAAATTAATAAGAAACACAATTCCCTTCCTCTAGAACTGAGAATCTATTTGAAAACAAAGCAGAAATGTATTTAGAGTAAAGCACTACTATGTGATTACAGCCAAAGCTCAATATGATATTATTTATAAGTGGTAGGAAGAAAAAAGCCAGTACAGAGAAGAAAAGCATACTAGGTAGGGAAAATGTGATAAGTAATCTTAAAATGTGGTTTACCGCTATGACAATTCCTCATGAACTGACAGGCCTGGGTTCAAAACTTTACCCCTTAACAGCTATGTGAGCTTGGACAGTTTACTTAACTTCATTAGCCCTCAGTTTCTCATCTATATAATAAAACTAACATTTACCTATTTACTTTTGGGGACTGCTGTGAGGATTAAGTGAAATAATGTAAGTGTATCACTGGATATGATGCCTAACACAAAATAAACCCTCAATTAAAGAAGAGACAATAGAAGATGGAATGGTTGTCAGGTTAAAAAACAGAGAAATTGAAAAATTTTGTAAATAATGGGCTGTAGCAAAGAAGCAGAAATTGATATGATGAGCTATTCTTTCACAGTAACTTATCTTTTGTTGTAGCAAGCATCTGTGCAAATATAAACCAGTGTCTGATAGCCACTGATGAAGGGCAGTGCTCAATGCTTGGCTGCTTTCGGATGAGGACAGAGACTCATTATTATCAATGGTTAGTCTATTCATTCATAAAACTGCAGGTGTTCATAACACTGTATAAAGTAGAAAAGCAGTGCACATTTGAGGACCTCTACAGCCACATCCTGAGCAGAGTAGTGGAACTGCTACATGAAATTTTAGGGCAAACATTAAGATATGTTCCTTCAAAAGTGAAAATTGGAGGAAATTTCTCAAAGTACCTCAATGGATCTTAAAATGAGGCAGATTATGTGCAGTACAATTTTCCTTAGTTTTGACTCTTCAGTGTATATGACTGTACTATAAGCTTCTATTAGTACAAAATTATCTTCGAGGACTAAAAATTCCATGACAATATAGAAACACATATGCGGATTTGTTTCACTCTTGTAGGTTGAAACATGTAGTTAAAGACAAATATAAGCACTCTGAATAGAGTCTTTCTTCAGCAAAACAGCAATGTCAGCACAGGCAGCAAACTACAGCAGAAATTGAGTGCAAAGTTCAAAAATCATTTCCTAAGAGTATCAAGTACTTAAAACGTAGTATGGCTAGGTTAATGTTTACTTTCACTTTATTTCACTTAACATTGGGTTATCAAGTATATGTCAGATATCTTTCCCTGGATCTGCTACAGATTATTGGAAATTTTAATTTATTGAAGGAGTTTCATATCTAGAGACCGTGTGTAAAATAAGTGGCAGAGCATCTTCTCCTGCCATCATCTACACTATAAAGTTGTCAAAATAATTTTTAATAGTATGTATACAAATGTTTCAAACTTATGAAGATCTATTAAAAATCTGTACTACTATTTATAATTGACTGCTATTCATTGAATTTTAACAAAAAATTAGGACAAAATAGATCCTTCAGAAATACTTCATATATCATGGAAGCTTGAGTATAATCTAGGGTACAAACCCTTCATTTTATATGAGGAATTCAGAAGTTAGAGAGAAGTAACTTAGCCAAGGCCATACTCAATAAATTACTAAGAGGTCTGAAAAGCCAGGGCTCTTCATTCAATTAATGCAGTGTGTTTACCACTATAGCTAACATTTTGATTAGTCAAAATTACACAAGCCATATAGATTTTTATTCTCCCCTGACCCAAATTCTTCTATAGTGAAAACAGAAAGTGAGACGTGGGTCAATTCTGGGGCCCAGATTAGAATTTATAATGTTCATGTAGCACACTTCCACGGAAAAAGACAGCCCTTTGGTAAAAGATTCTAACTCACTGTCACTAGTTCTTCCTTATGTACTTACCTTTCTGGGTATAAATGGAAAATACTCATCTCAAGGGAGGAATCTCAGCTGTAATGACATTCATCTTCTCTTAACTCTAAGCGCAGGACAATGTGAAAAATGGTAACAGTCAGAGGGAGATAACCTTGGGACAGACCTACAGGGTTCCTGTCAAGTAAAACAGTAGGCTGAGACATTTCCTAAAAGTATTAGTACATGTAACTTTGTTTTCAGAATTTTGACATATATAATCTAACCTGCAGTTACCCCAAAATAAGTGGAGCCAAGTGTAGAGTACTTAAAACATAGAGTTTGGAATACCTCTTTTGCAGACAGCAGCCCACATAACAAAAATAATGTGCCAGGTCTGGGAAAGTGACTAATAATCAGAACTCCTAGGACTGGGCTCTATTTTCCTATAGAATAGCTGTTATCAGTGTGTTTAGATCTACAAAATAGCTAAAATATTTGCAATCACCGTTTTTTTAGGAAGTTACTTTGAGCATCCCTAATCCAAAAATCCAAAATCCAAAGTGCTCCAAAATCCTAAATCTTTTGAGTGCCAACATGATGTTCAAAAGGAAATGCTCGATGGAACATTTTGGATGATGTTTGAAAGGAAATGCTCGATGGAACATTTTGGATGATGTTTGAAAGGAAATGCTCGATGGAACATTTTGGATGATGTTTGAAAGGAAATCCTCGATTGAACATTTTGGATTTTAGATTTTTGGATTAGCGATACTAATATTCAACAGTATAATGTAAATATACCAAAATCTGAAAAAATCCAAAATCTGGACATTCTTTTGGTCCCAAGCATTTCGGATAAGGAATACTTGACCTGTGTAATACACACAGATCAGAGATCATGTGTCTTATTGATTTTTTAGCACAATTCTCAAAGTTAGAGACTACATCTTGTTATATTTTTTAAGCCCCCACTCTTTATCTAGCAAAAATCTGGATGCACTGTAAGCACTCAGTGCTCACTGAATGTGTTTTTTTATTAGATTTTTTTTAAGTTCATCACAATTCCAGATTGTAGTGCCTAACTCAGATTCCTTTACATTTCCCTAGCAAAAATGTGCACAAAAACACTGGAGAAGAGGTCCAAGTGATATGTGCAGGAAATATAAAATACAGACATATCCGAGGTTACAACTCAATTAATGCAAACTGTTCTGTAAACCCTAGAAAATGCAGATCAGTGATAGTCATAATTTATAAACACAAACTATAACACACAGGCAAAATATAGAGGACATCACATAAAGTTCCATGATGCTACTGAAAAGTTTAAACTAGTGATGGATTATTCAAAATATTTGTTTCATTTTTAAAAACAACAAAGTGAATGCTGCATGAAAACAGGATAAATGATAAAATGTAAACAGCAAGATAGTTACAAAGCACAATAAATCTTTACTGTGAATAAAAGTGAATTATTTGTGAAGAAAAGCCAGCTAGGAGATAGACATATCTCAAAAGAAAGCCAAAATTTAAGGTTCTGAAAGATAGCCTGATGTTTTTGCTTGGGCCTGATACAGTGTATGATTGCATTTCTGCACAAATATAACACCAGTGTTTTAACCCCAAGTGTTGTTAGAATATTCTCCAAAATAAAATAACTCAGAAATAGTGGAAGAGTACCTTACCATTCAATTATTCAACATTATCTGGGAAAATTCTCCTTTTACAATATTCTGCATAGGCTGTACTGATAAAAATATTCACTACCAGTAAGTGTTTTAACCTTCAAAATTAGTGGACACGAACCAATAGGAAGCAGATAAGGAAAGAACATATATCCATCCCCAAAACTGGTAATTCCTCCATTAAAGACTTGTACTCCCAGCCCACCATCACCCTTTCCTCTATTCCATATCCCTCTTACAAGTATCATGCAAGAGGGGCTTGGAGGAATTTTTAACCACCCCAATAACTTCCATCAGCCTCTCTAATAGACACTCCCAAAATATACAACTAAATAAAGCAAAGCACTTATTATTGCAAAAGAAGACTCAAGACAAGAAACTTGGGAGCATCGTTTCGATTAAGCCACTGCTCTTTCTCCCTTCCTCTACATGGCAATCATGGAGCTGTCACCTATATCATGCTTTGTTGGAGTATAGCAACAATGGTTAAAAGCATGAATTTAGAGTCAAGCTATACAAATATTTGTAAATTTTGACAAGTACCAAAACACAAAAAAGATAAGGAAGCATTGGTTTAATGAAATGGAAATATCAAAAATATACATAGTTGGTAGAATTTTAAATTAGTAAAACCAATCTGGAAGTCCATTTGGTTAAAAGTATTCAAAACTCCAAAAATATGCATGTAATTTGCCTCAGAAATTCAATTATGAATTGAATTTATTCAATTTCTTCTGAAAAAAATAGGTTAAATATGTAACATGTATATGCAGGAATGTTCTCTACAGTAATGTTCATAATAGCAAAATGCTGCAAAAATCTTAAATACCCAACAGCATAGGACTAGTTGGTTAATTATGTTACAGTGACACTATGAAATACTATGCAAACATTAAAAAGAATGATGAACAGCCACAATTAAGTGAAAAATGCAGATTACAGAACAGAAGGTATAAAACAATCTCAGTTGTCTATTTTTTAAATTTAATCACATAATTATAGAAGATAATCTGGAATAATATACCTTAAAAATGTGAAACAATTATTATCTGAGTGATGGGATTAAAGGTAATTAATATTTTCTTTGTAAATTTTTCATCTCATTTCATTACATTAAGCATCATTACTTTTAATCTGAAAAGAAAAGCTTTTCATATTTTGAGTTTAAAAAAGTATTAAGTCTACATAAAGCACACAGACACCAAGAGTTAATTATGTAAGTCCACATAACATATGTGTGCATATACCTACATATCTAAACTCACTTCTATAAGTACACATCTTAAGTTTTGACTTTTGAAAATTAGCACTTCTTCAAAATTATAATTTAAACTTTTTTTTTTAGCATTTCTAAGGCATTAAGAGACATCTGTGTCATCCTGACACAACCAATACTGCTCCAATGCCATTATACAATCCATTTTTGGTTTGCTTTGTAATAGGTGAATGTTTAGTGCTATGCTGTGCCTCGCCTTTTGATTACTGCCAAAAAAGAAAAAACTAAGCCACCTCTATAATATACTGCCTGAAGTTTCTAAGGAAAACCATAGCAGAATGCAACTACTTTAACAGCTTTAGAAAAGATTAATTATCAGTGAAGGCCCCAGAAGTGAGGGGGAAACATCAAATATGTTATTCAGACAGACAACTCTGACTCTTCTCTCCTTCCGAGCATCTCCACCAAAAAATTACGTGGGAAGATGAACCATAACACACAGTAAAATAAGAGAAAAACTTTAAAAGTCAATTAAATTATCTAAGTATTCATAATAACTTAATACTGAGCTAAATATAAACTTCATATTAAAGATATGGCATTTAGACTTTATTAACTCAGCTTAGAGTTATAGATGAGCTATGGTATGCTGAACCCATCTATAAAAAATAATTAAAGACATTCAAGAATTCATAAAATTTGATTACTCATCAGAGAAAGAAAAAAGTACTTACCACTAAGTCCCAATTATTTTGTTCAAGCAATGTAATAGCTTCGTCAATGTTTTCAATGCCAGTACATGCCTGGAAAGAAAGTAAATAAGCATTTTACATATAATTTTAGAAATAGGGAGGTAAATCAGACTTAAAAATGTAAATAGCATAATATGTAATTTAAATTCAAATAGGTATATGAATAAAGCCAAAACACTAAAAGTTTAACACTTCTAAGCATTTTACATATATGGTGTGAACATTGTTAATTACAAAGTAAATTTACATTGCTCTGAAAAAAAGACAATAAAGCAGGAAAAGAAAGTATATTTAAATTTTGAGCTTTGATACCCAGGATGATCTCTAATTACCAAGAACAACTTTTAGTCAAAGATTCTCATGGGCAACCACATGTAAAACAAATGAATTTCAACCCATACCATGCACTTTATATAAAAACTAACTCAAAATATATAACAGACCTAGACCTAAACTAAAATCGAAAACTATAAAACTAGATCTGTGCTGTCTGATAGCCACTACCAGCCGCTCTCTGGTAGCTGCTAGACACATGTGGCTAGTGAGTCCTTGAAATGTGGCTCAACTGAGTTAAGATGTGCTATAAGTACGAAATACACACCAGGTAAGACTTAGCACCAAAATTAAAAATGTAAGCTATCTCATTAATAATTTTTCCTCTGAATACATGTTGAAATGGAAATTTTTGACATACTAGCTTAAATAAAACATGTTAAAATTAATTTCACACATTTCTTTTTACCCCTTTAACATAAATACTAAGAAAAAATTAACTACATATATGAAATTATATTTCTGGTGTTGTTCTTGAAAAAAATATATGAGGACATACTTGTGACCAAACTAAGCAAATATTAACTAGCAGGATGCCATTTTTAAGCTGGGCACATTAATAAAGTCAGCCATTCTCTGGTGACCCAGCTCATGGCAGTGTAGGCATTTTATTCTCAGGCCACCAAACCAAATCCAACAGCACATCAAAAAGTAAATTAACCACAATTAAGTATACTTCATTCTTGGGATACAAGGTTGGTTGGGCATATGATTCACCACACAAACAGAATTAAAAGCAAAAACCACACAATCATCTCAATAGATGCGGAAAAAGTTTTCAATAAAACCCAACATCCCTTTACAAGGAAAACCCTCAAGAAAGTAGGCATCAAAGGAATATATCACAAAATAATAAGAGCCTAACTCACACCTAATATACTGAATGGCCAAAAACTGGAAGCATTCCTCTTGAGAACTGAAACAAGGCAAGGATGTCCACTCTCACCACTTATATTCAACATAGTACTGGAAGTGTTGGCCAGAGCAATCAACCAAGAGAAAGAAATAAAAGGCATCTAAATAGGAAAAGAAGAAGTCAAACTATCTCACTTCATAAATAATATGATTCTGTATCTAGAAAACCCTAAAGACTGCAAAAAGGATCCTGGAACCGATAACTTCAGTAAAGTTTCAAGACACAAAAATCGATGTACAAAAATCAGTAGCATTTCTACACACCAATAACACTCCAGCTGAAAGCCAAATCAAGAATATAATCCCATTTACAATAGCCACAAAGAAAATGAAATACCTAGGAATGTGGTTAACCAAGGAGATGAAAGATCTCTACAAGGAGAACTACAAAACACTGCTGAAAGAAATCAGAGACCACACAAATAAAAAACATTCCATGCTCACAGGTTGGAAGAATCAATATCATTAAAATGGCCACACTGCCCAATGCAATCCAGAGATTCAATGCTATTCCTATCAAACTACCAATGTTATTTGTCACAAACTAGAAAAAACTAAAATTCATATGGAATCAAAAAAGAGCCCAAATAGCCAAAGTAATCCTAAGCAAAAAGAACAAAGCTGGAGGCATCACATTATCCAACTTCAAACTATACTGTAAGGATACAATAATCAAAACAGCATGGAATCGATACAAAAACAGACATAAACACTCATGGAACAGAATAGAGAACCCAGAAATAAAGCTGCTTGCACAACTACAGCCATTTGATCTTCAACAAAGCCTACAAAAATAAGCAATAGGGAAAGGACTGCCTATTGAATAAACAAACAGTGCTGGGATAGCTGGCTACCCATGTACAGAAGAATGACACTAGACCCCTACTTTTCACCATACACAAAAATTAACTCAGGATGGATTAAAGATTTAAATGTAAGACCTCAAACTATAAGAATCTAGAAGAAAACCTAAGAAATGCCATTCTGGACATCAATCTTGGCAAAGAATTTACTACTAAGTTATCAAAATCAACTGCAACCAAAACCAAAATTGACAAGTTAGACCTAATTATACTAAAGAGCTTCTGCACAGCAAAAGAAACTATCAACAGGGTAAACATACAACCTACAGAATAGGATAAAATATTCACAAACTACACATGTGACAAGATCTAATATCCAGAATCTATAAGCAACTTAAATCAACAAGCAAAAGACAAGTAACCCCATTAAAAAATGGGCAAAGGACATGAACAGACACTTCTCAAAAGAAGACGTACACATGGCCAACAAACATGAAAAAATGTTCCACATCACCAATCACAGAGAAATGCAAATCAAAACTACAATGACATACCATCTCACACCAGTCAAAGTGACTATTATTAAAATATATTTTTTAAAAAACAGATGCTAGTGAGGCCGCAGATACAAAGGGAATATTTATACACTGTTGGTGGAAATACAACTTAGTTCAGCTACTACAAAAGCAGTTTGTAGATTTCTCAACTTAAAACAGCATTTAACTCAGAAATCCCTATGTATATATTAAAAAAAAATTCATTGTACCAAAAAGACAAATTCACTCACACGTTAATCGCAGCACTATTCACAATAGCAAAGACATGGAATCAACCCATGTGCCCATCAACAATGGACTGGATAAAGAAAATGTGGCATGTATACACTGTGGAATACTATGCAGCCATCAAGAGAACTACGTCATGTCCTTTGCAGCAACATGGGTTAAGCTGGAAGCCATAATCCTAAGCGAATTAATGCAGAAAGAAAAAACAATACACCACATTTTCTCACTTATAAGTGAGAGCTAAACATCAGGTACTCATGGACAGAAAGAAGGCAACAATAAAACTGCACTACTAGAATGGGGAGAGAGGCAAGGGTTGACTATTCAGTACTATGTTGAGTACCTGAGTGACAAGATCATTTCATACCTCAAGCATCACACAATATATCTAGGTAATAAACTTCTATCTGTACTCCCTGAATCTAAAACAACAGTTGAAAAACAAAACACTAGTAGACCACATATTAAAAACAAGAGACTGCTATGGATTGAATATCTGTATCCTCCTATGGTGACATCCTAAAATCCACTATGATGGTATTTGGAGATGAGGTCTTTGAGAGGTAACTAGGACTAGATGAGGTTATGAAGGTAGAATCTTCATGATAGGATTAGTGCCCTTACATGGATGAATCTGGAGGCCATTATCCTTAGTGAAATGACCCCGAAACAGAAAGTCAAAAACCGTATGTTCTTACTTGTGAGAGTTAAACAATGGAGACACATAAACATACAGAGTAGAATGACAGACACTGGAGACTCCAAAATGTGGCAGGGTAGGAGGTAGTAAGGGACAAAAATGCTACTTATTGGGTACAGTGTACACTATTCAGGTGATAGGTACACTAAAAGCCCAAACTTTACCACTATACAATATATCCATGTAACATAACTGCACTTGTATTCCTAAGTCCATAAAAATAAAAAGTTATTTAAAAAAAAGATTAATGCCCTTGTAAGAAGAGATACCAAAGAATTTGTTTCAAGCTTGAAAGACTAGAAAGGAAAACTAAATAATTAAAAAAAAAATTTCTGTCTCCCTCACCACCCCATCAGGTGAGAACACAGCAAGACAGCAGCCATCTGCAAGTGAGAAAGAGAGCCCTCACCAGAAACTGACTACTCTGGTACCCTGATGACACACAATCAGCTTTCAGAACTACAAGGAGATAAATGTCATTTGTTGAAGCCAACCAGACTATTGTATTTTGTTATGATGGACAAATAGACTAAGACAGGAACCACTTATGACAAAGAAAACAAAGTTACAAAAATAGTTTAGAAGTCATTAAACAAACAACTGCAACCCACAGAAAGCAACGAAAAAAAAAAACACATGGGAATGAGGACCAATCTAACTTCCAGAGATATCATACTGTATGTTTTAAATGTCTATTTAAATACATGTAAAGTATGCAGAGAACCAACAAAGTATGTGGCCCATTCAAGAGAGAAATTAACAGAAGCTGTACAGAGGAAAAACAGACATCCAACTCAGTAGACAAAGTCTATCAATCATCATCTTAAACATACTTATAGAGCTAAAATACCATGAACAAAAAGCTAAAAGAAATCAGAGGAATAAAGTGTCAAAAATAGAGAACGCTGGATAGAGAGCAAAATGATGGTAACGAGCAACTGGCAAGGGCAGTGGGCAGAGGAGAATAAAGATGGGATAGTTAATGGGTACAAAAACACAGTCAGATAGAGGAATAAGATCTCGTATTTGTTAGCACAATAGAGTAACTGCACCTCACATCTCAATACTAACATCAAACGTAAATGGCCTAAATGCTCCACTTAAAAGATATAGAATGGCAGAATGGATAAGAATTCACCAACCAAATATCTGCTGTCTTCAAGAGACTCACCTAACACATAAAGACTCACACAAACTTAAGGTAAAGGGGAAAGATATTCCAGGCAAATGGACACCAAAAGCAAGCAAGAGTAGCTATTCTTATATGAGAAAAAAACAAACTTTAAAGCAACAACAGTTAAAAAAGACAAAAAGGGACATTATATAATGATAAAGGGACTAGTACAACAGGAAAATATTACAATGCTAAATATACATACACTAAACACTGGAGCTCCCATTTATAAAAGCTCTAGGAAATGAGATGATGGCAACACAGTAATAGCAGGAGACTTCAATATTCCACTGACAGCACTAGACAGAAAGTCAACAAAGAAACAATGAACTTAAACTATACCCTAGAACAAATGGACTTAACAGACATTTACAGAACATTCTACCCAACAACTGCAGAATATACATTCTATTCATCAGTACATGGAACATTCTCCAAGATAGGTCATATGGTAGGCCACAAAATGAGTTCCAATCAATTTAAGAAAATCAAAATTATATCAAGTATTCTGTCAGACCACAGTAGAATAAAATTGGAAATCGACTCCAAAAGAAACCCTCAAAACCATGCAAATACATGGAAATTAAATAATCCGCTCCTGAATGATCTTTGGGTCAACAATGAAATCAAAATGGAAACTAAAAAATTATTTGAACTTAACAATAATAATGGCACAACCTATCAAAACCTCTGGGATACAGCAAAAGTGGTACTAAGAGGAAAGTTCATACCATTAAATGCCTAGATCAAAAAGTCTCAAAGAGCACAAATAGACAATCTAAGGTCATACCTCAAGAAACTAGAGAAACAAGAAGAAAACAAACCCAAACCCAGCAGAAAAAAAGAAACAACCAATATCAGAGCAGAACTAAATGAAATTGAAACAAACAAAACTACAAAAGATAAATGAAACAAAAAGCTGCTTCTTTGAAAAGATGAACAAAATTCAGTATTTTATTGAGGATTCTTGAATCAATGTTCATCAAGGATATTGGTCTAAAATCCTCTTTTTTTGGTTGTGTCTCTGCCCGGCTTTGCTATCAGGATGATGCTGGCCTCATAAAATGAGTTAGGGAGGATTCCCTCTTTTTCTATTGATTGGAATAGTTTCACAAGGAATGGTACCAGTTCCTCCTTGTACCTCTGGTAGAATTCGGCTGTGAATCCATCTGGTCCTGGACTCTTTTTGGTTGGTAAGCTACTGATTATTGCCACAATTTCAGAGCCTGTTATTGGTCTATTCAGAGAGTCAACTTCTTCCTGGTTTAGTCTTGGGAGAGTGTATGTGTCGAGGAATTTATCCATTTCTTCTAGATTTTCTAGTTTATTTGCGTAGAGGTGTTTGTAGTATTCTCTGATCGTAGTTTGTATTTCTGTGGGATCAGTGGTGATATCCCCTTTATCATTTTTTATTGTGTCTATTTGATTCTTCTCTCTTTTCTTCTTTATTAGTCTTGCTAGCGGTCTATCAATTTTGTTGATCCTTTCAAAAAACCAGCTCCTGGATTCATTAATTTTTTGAAGGGTTTTTTGTGTCTCTATTTCCTTCAGTTCTGCTCTGATTTTAGTTATTTCTTGCCTTCTGCTAGCTTTTGAATGTGTTTGCTCTTGCTTTTCTAGTTCTTTTAATTGTGATGTTAGGGTGTCAATTTTGGATCTTTCCTGCTTTCTCTTGTGGGCATTTAGTGCTATAAATTTCCCTCTACACACTGCTTTGAATGTGTCCCAGAGATTCTGGTATGTTGTGTCTTTGTTCTGGTTGGTTTCAAAGAACATCAAACTATACTACAAGGCTACAGTAACCAAAACAGCATGGTACTGGTACCAAAACAGAGATATAGATCAATGGAACAGAACAGAGCCCTCAGAAATAACACCACATATCTACAACTATCTGATCTTTGACAAACCTGAGAAAAACAAGCAATGGGGAAAGGATTCCCTATTTAATAAATGGTGCTGGGAAAACTGGCTAGCCATATGTAGAAAGCTGAAACTGGATCCCTTCCTTACACCTTATACAAAAATCAATTCAAGATGGATTAAAGACTTAAACGTTAGATCTAAAACCATAAAAACCCTAGAAGAAAACCTAGGCATTACCATTCAGGACGTAGGCATGGGCAAGGACTTCATGTGTAAAACACCAAAAGCAATGGCAACAAAAGCCAAAATTGACAAATGGGATCTAATTAAACTAAAGAGCTTCTGCACAGCAAAAGAAACTACCATCAGAGTGAACAAGCAACCTACAAAATGGGAGAAAATTTTCACAACCTACTCATCTGACAAAGGGCTAATATCCAGAATCTACAATGAACTCAAACAAATTTACAAGAAAAAAAACAACCCCATCAAAAAGTGGGCGAAGGACATGAACAGACACTTCTCAAAAGAAGACATTTATGCAGCCAAAAAACACATGAAAAAATCCTCACCATCACTGGCCATCAGAGAAATGCAAATCAAAACCACAATGAGTTACCATCTCACACCAGTTAGAATGGCGATCATTAAAAAGTCAGGAAACGACAGGTGCTGGAGAGGATGTGGAGAAATAGGAACACTTTTACACTGTTGGTGGGACTGTAAACTAGTTCAACCACTGTGGAAGACAGTGTGGCGATTCCTCAGGGATCTAGAACTAGAAATACCATTTGACCCAGCCATCCCATTACTGGGTATATACCCAAAGGACTATAAATCATGCTGCTATAAAGACACATGCACACGTATGTTTATTGTGGCACTATTCACAATAGCAAAGACTTGGAACCAACCCAAATGTCCAACAATGATAGACTGGATTAAGAAAATGTGGCACATATACACCGTGGAATACTATGCAGCCATAAAAAATGATGAGTTCATGTCCTTTGTAGGGACATGGACGAAATTGGAAATCATCATTCTCAGTAAACTATTGCAAGAACAAAAAACCAAACACTGCATATTCTCACTCATAGGTGGGAATTGAACAATGAGAACACATGGACACAGGAAGGGGAACATCACACTCTGGGGACTGTTGTGGGGTGGGGGGAGGGGGGAGGGATAGCTTTAGGAGATATACCTAATGCTAAATGACGAGTTAATGGGTGCAGCACACCAGCATGGCACATGTATACATATGTAACTAACCTGCACATTGTGCACATGTACCCTAAAACTTAAAGTATAATAATAATAAAAGAAAAAAAAAAAGAAAAGATGAACAAAATTCACAGACCATTACCGAGATTAACCAAAAGAAAAGATCCAACTAAGCTCAATTACAAATGAAAGGGGAGATACTACAACTGATACTAACCAAATCCAACTGCATATCAAAATGAGAATCCACCATGATCAAGTGAGTTTGATACCAGGGATGCCAGGATGGTTTAATATACACAAGTCAATAAATGTGATACACCACATAAACAAAATTAAAAACAAACATCACATGATAATCTCAATAGATGCAGGAAAAGCAGTTGACAAAATCCAGCATTTCTCTGTGATTAAAACCCTCAGCAAAATCAGCATAGAAAGGACATACCTTAAGGTAATGACAAACCCACAGCCGACATTATACTGAAGTTCCAGGAAAAGCTGAAAGCATTCCCCCTGAGAACTGGAACAAGATAAGGATGCCCACTTTCACCACTTCTATTCAACATAGTACTGGAAGTCCTAGCCAGAGCAGTCAGACAAGAGAAAGAAATAAAGCACATCCAAACCAGTAAAGAGGAAGTCAAACTGTTGATGTTTGCCGATGATATAATTGTATACCTAGGAAACACTAAAGACTCATCCAAAAAGCTCCTAGATATGATAAATGAATTCAGTGTTAGTTTCAGGATACAAAATCAAATACACAAATCAGTAGCACTGCTATACACCAACAGTGATCAAGCTGAGAATCAAACCGAGAACTCAACCCCCTTTAAAATAGCTGCAAAACAAAAAACAAAAAACCTTAGGAATATACTTAACCAAGGAGATGAAAGACCTCCAGAAGAGAAACTACAAAACAATGCTGAAAGAAATCATAGATGACACAAATGGACACATCCCATGATCATGGATGGGTAGAATCAATACTAGAAAGATGACCATACTGCCAAAAGCAATCTGGAACTTCAATGCAATTGCCATCAAAATACCATCATCATTCTTCACAAAACTAGAGAAAACAATCCTAAAATTCATATGAAACCGAAAAAGTGACCATATAGCCAAAATAAGACTAAACAAAAAGAACAAATCTGGAGGCATAACATTACCCAACTTCAAACTATACTACAAGGCTATGGTCACCAAAACATCATGGTACTGGTATAAAAATAGGCATATAGACCAATGCAACAGAATACAGAACAGAAATAAAGCCAAATACTTATAGCCAACCAATCTTCAACAAAGCAAACAAAAACATAAAGTGTGGAAAGAACACCCTATTCAACAAATGATCCTGGGATAACTGGTTAGCCACATGCAGAAGAATGAAACTGGATCCTCATCTCTCACCTTATAAAAACTCAACACAACATGGATCAAAGACTTAAATCTAAAACCTGAAACCGTACAACTCAAGAAGATAACATTGGAAAAACTATTCTTGACATTGGCTTAGGCAAAGACTTCATGACCAAGAACACAAAAGCAAATGGAACAAAATCCAAGATAAATAGATGAAACTTAACTAAACTCAAAAGCTTCTGCACAGGAAAAGAAACAATCAGCAGCATAAACTGACAACCCACAGAGTGGGAGAAAATCTTGGTAAATTATGCATCCAACAAAGAACTAATATCTGGAATCTATAAGGAACTCAAATCAGCAAGAAAAAAACAAACAATCCTATTAAAAACTGGGCTAGGGACATGAATAGACAATTCTCAAAAGAAGACATACAAATGGCAAAAAAAAATGAAAAAATGCTTGACATCACTAATGATCAGGCAAATGCATATCAAAACCACAATGCGATACCACTTTACTCTTGCAAGAATGGCCTTAATCAAAATCTAAAAAAATTATAGCTGTTGCTGTGGATGTGGTGAAAATAGAACACTTTTACACTGCTGGTGGGAATGTAAACTAGTACACCACTATGAAAAACAGCATGGAGATTCCTTAAAGAACTAAAAGTAGATCCATCATTTTATCCAGCAATCCCATTCCTGGGTACCTACCCAGAGGGAAAGAAGTCATTATATGAAAAAGACTCTTGCACACACGTTTATAGCAGCACAATTTGCAATTACAAAAATATGGAACCAGCCTAACTTCCCATCAATCAATGAGTGAATAAAGAAAGTGTGGTATATATATCCCATGGAATACTACTCAGCCATAAAAAGAAACAAAATAATGGCACTCACAGCAACCTAGAAGGAGTTGAAGACCATCATTCTAAGTGAAGTAACTCAGGAAAGGAAAACCGAACATTGCATGTTCTCATTTATAAGTGGGAGCTAAGCTATGAGGATGCAAAGGCATAAGAATGATACAAGGGACTTTGGGGACTTGAGGGGAAGGGTGGGAGTCAGGTGAGGGATAAAAGACTACACATTGTGTACAGTACACAGTGCTTGGGTGATGGGAGCACCAAAATCTCAGAAATCACCACTAAAGTACTTATCATTGTAATCAAACACCACCTGTTCCCCAAAAACTATTGAAATTTTTTAAAAAAGATAAAATAAAAAATGTAAAAAAGAAAGTACTAGTATTTGCTTTCATTATTTTCTCTATTTTTTATTTCACTCATTTCTGGATTCATCTTTATTATTTCCTTCTTTCCACTTATTTGGCTTAAGTTGCTCTTCCAGCTTCTTACGGTGGAAGTATAGAGCAATGATTTTAATCCCTTCTTCCCTTCTAATGTAAGCATTTATAGCTGTAAATTTACCTCTAGGCACTGCTGTAGCTACATCTCACAAATTTTTATATGTATGTTCATTATCATTCAGTTCAAAGTTTTTTCTAAAGTTTTCCTCATGATCTGTTTTTTGGCCCATGTGTTGTATTTGGAAGAATGTTACTTAATTCCTAAACACATGCAGTTTTCCAAACATCTTTTTGCTGTTGATTTGTAATTTAATTCCATTGTGGATGGAGAACTTTATCTATATGATTTCCATCCTTGGAAATTTATGAAGACTTAATAGCCCAATAATCTGTATTGCTAAATGTTTCATATGCATATAAATGTGTATTCTATCTGTTATTGTGTGGAATTGCCATTTAACTCTATAAATGTCAATTAAGTCTAGTTATTGATAGTACTGTTCAAATTATCTGTATCTTTACTGATTCTACTTGTTCTATTAATTACTGAGAGAGAACTCTGAAAATCTCCATTTGTACTTGTGGATTTGTCTATATCTGCCTTCAGTTTTGCCAATTTTTGCTTGACAATGAGTGTACACAAATTTGAAGTGTTACCTTCTTGAAAAATTGATTCTCCCGCGATTATGTTTCTTTTATCTTTGGTAATATGCCTTGTACTCAAGTCTACTTAGTCTGGTATTAATATTGTCATCTAGCTTTTCAATAATAGTTTCATAGTATATAATTTTCCATATTTTTTAACTGTGGCTTTACTTTTATAGTACATTTCTTTTAGACAGACTATAGTCAGGTCTTGCTTTTTATCCACTACAACAACATCTGCCTCTATATCAAAGTATTTAAAGTACTTATATTTCATGTAATTATTATGGTTGGGCTTGAGTCTGCCACACTTCTACTTATTTTCTAATCATCCCATTCTCTGGTGGCTTTTAGTGCTTATTTTTTATTTTGTTATTATGAGTTAAGTATATGACATGGTGTTTGTTGTTGCATGTTTTAGTAAATCTAAGACATTCTCAACTTTTATTCATTTGAATATTATCTCTCCTACATAATCAATTCTGCTCTTTCAGAGCTCCTACTTGCCATGGAGGTGCATCTCATTCTAGCCTCCATGTCATCTTTTAAATTTTCTATACAAATTTGTACAGTGATGATTTACTTTATCTTCTATACCATTTTTTTAAACCTATAGTTTTCCAATTTACCTACCTAGTATAGAGTTTTTTCTTTGAGGATGTACTTTTAGATTCTTTATAAAATCCAATCTATTCTATTTTTTCACTATTTCTGGCTTATAAGTTCTATTCTCTACAGTTTTACATATTTTAAACATATCTACCTTAAAGTCTCTTTGTTACCAGTTCTCAAGTTGTTAGTTCTATGATTTTGGCATCTGCTGAATGTGATTGTGGCTTCTCCTGTGGTATATAACGTCTAACAACTGAGTTCATCTTCAGAAAGATTTATTTTCATACCATGCATTATGATGGTATCCTTATAAAGTGTTTCCTGTACATGCATTTGCTGAACTTTATGGACTTCATTAGTTCTAGACCAGTTTTAATTTGCATGAATTCAATCTTAATCATTTGACAGAATTTTGTATAAGCAAACACATTTTATTACACTCTACAGCACCGTGAAGATATTGCATTTTTAAAAAATTGAAGGGGCCGGGCACATTGGCTCACGCCTATAATCCTAGCACTTTGGGAGGCCAAGGCGGACTGACTGACTGAGCTCAGGAGTTCAAGACCAGCCTGGGCAACACAGTGAAACCCCGTCTCTACTAAAATACAAAAAATTAGCTGAGCATGGCAGCATGTGCCTGTAGTCCCAGCTACTCGGAAGGCTGAGGCAAGAAAATCACTTGAACGCGCGAGGCACAAGTTGCAGAGAGCCGAGATTGCGCCACTGCACTCCCGCCTGGGTGACAGGGCAAGACTCCATCTCAAAAATAAAAAAGAAAGAAAAAATTAGAGGTTTATGGCATCCCTGCATCGAGCAAGTCCATCAGAACCATTTTTCCAATAGTACACGCTAATTGCATGTTTCTGTGTCACATTTTGGTAATTCTTGCAATGTTTCAAACTTTTTCACTATTATTATATATATTATGGTAATCTATGATCTTTGATGTTACTATTGTAATTGTTTTGAGGCGCCACAAACCATGCCCACAAGACAATGAACTTCATCAATAAATGTTGTATGTGTCCTCACTGCTCTGCTGACCTGCCAGTTCCCCATCTCTCTCCTCCTTGGGAGTCCCTATTCTCTCAGACACAATATTGAAACGAGGCCAATTAATAATCCAACAATAGCCTCTAAGTGTTCAAGTCATGTTTCTCATTTTAAATCAAAAGCTTAAAATGATTAAGCTTAATGAGAAAGAAATGTTGAAAGTTGAGATAAGCTTAAAGCAAGGTTTTTTTGCACCAAATAGCCACATTGTGAATGCAAAGGAAAAGTTCTTGAGGGAAATTACGTGTTACTCTAGTGAATATACAAATAATAAGAAAGCAGAACAGCCTTACTACTAATATAGAGAAAGTTTTAGTGGTCTGAATAGAAGATTAAACCAGTCGAAACTTTTGCTTAAGCCAAAACCTAATGCAGAGCAAGGACCAAACTTGCTTACATTCTACGACACAGGTGAGGACACGCAGAAGAAAAGTTTGAAGCTTGCAGAGGTTGGCTCAAGAAGTTCAAGGAAGGAAGTCATCTCCATAACATGAAAATGCAAGGTGAAGCAGCAAGTGCTGATGTAGAAGCTGTAGTAAGTTTTATTCAGGACCTAGCTAATTGATGAAGATGCTTACACTAAACAGCAGTAGTAACATTCTATGTGGATAAAACAGCCTTCTATTGGAAGAAAACATCATCACAGCAAAAGAGAAGTCAATGCCTGGCTTCAAAGCTTCAAAGGGCAGGCTGACTTTCTCATTAGGGGCTAATGCAGATGGTGACTTTCAACTGAAGCCAATGCTTATTGACCATTCTGAAAATCCTAGGTCTCTTCAGAATTATGCTAAATCTATTCTGCCTGTGCTCTCTAAATGGAACAACAAAGCCTGAATGACAGCACATCTCTTTACCATATGGGTTACTCAATATTTTAACCCAGCTTCTGGGACCTACTGCTTAGAAAAACAGATTCCTTTCAAACTATTACTATTCATTGACAATGCACTTGGTTACTCAAGAGCTCAGATAGAGATGTACAAAGAGATCAAAGTTGTTTTTCTGGCTGCTAACACAACATCGATTCTGTAGCTCATGGGTCAAGGATTATTTTTGAATTTCAAGTCTTGTTATTTAGAAAAACGAGGCGGGCGGATCACGAGGTCAGGAGATCGAGACCATCCTGGCTAACACGGTGAAACCCCGTCTCTACCAAAAATACAAAAAATTAGCCGGGCATAGTGGCGGGCGCCTGTAGTCCCAGCTACTCGGGAGGCTGAGGCAGGAGAATGGCATGAACCCGGGAGGCGGAGGTTGCAGTGAGCCGAGATTGCGCCACTGCACTCCAGCCTGGGCAACAGAGCCAGACTCCATCTCAAAAAAAAAAAAAAAAAAGAAAAAGAAAATACATTTCATAAAGCTATAATAGCTGCTGTAGATAGTGATTCCTCTTATGGATCTGGGCAAAGTACACTGAAAACTTTCTGGAAAGGATTCACCATTCTAGATGCCATTCATAATTCATGGGAAGAGGTCAAAATATCAACATCAACAAGAGTTTGGGAGAAGTTGATTCTCACCCTTATGGATAATTTTGAGGGATTCAAGACTTCAGCAGAGGAACTGCAGATATGGTGAAGACAGCAAGATAACTAGAATTAGAAGTGGAGTGTGAAGATATGCATGAATTGCTGCAATCTTATGATAAAACCTGAATAGATACGAAGTTGCTTCTTATGGATGAGCAAAAAAAGTGGTTTCTTGAGATGAAAATCTACTCCTGATGTAGATGCTGTGAACACTGTTGAAATGTAAACAAAGGATTTAGACTATGACATAACCTTAACTGATAAAGCAGCAGTAGGGTTTGAGAGGATTGACTCCAATTTTGAAAGAAGCTCTAGTTTGTGTAAAATGCTATCAAACAGGCTGGGCGCGGTGGCTCATGCCTATAATCCCAGCACTTTGGGAGGCCGAGGCAGGCAGAACACCTGAGGTCAGGAGTTCGAGACCAGGCTGCCCAACATGGTGAAACCCTATCTCTACTAAAAATACAAAAAAAAGTAGCTGGGTGTGGTGGTGGGTGCCTGTAATCCCAGCTACTCAGGAGGCTGAGGCAGGAGAATCGCTTGAACCTGGGAGGCGGAGTTGCAGTGAGCCGAGATTGCGCCACTGCACTCCAGCCTGGGCAACAACAGCGAAACTCCGTCTGGAAAAAAAAAAAAAATTGCTATCAAACAGCACTGCATGCTACACAGAAACCTCTCATGAAAGAAGGCCAACCAATGCAGCAAATGTAATTGTTGTCTTATTTTAAGAAATTGCTAGAGCCACCCCAACTTTCAGCAACCACTATCCTGATCAGTCAGCACCTATCAACGTTGAGGCAAGACCCTTCACCAGCAAAAAGATTAATACTTGCTGAAGGCTCAGGTGATAATTAGCATTTTTTTTAACAATAAAGTGTTTTAAAATTAAGGTACATGCTTTTCTTTTTAAGACATAATGCTACTGCACACTTAATGGGCTACATAATAGTGTAAATATAACTTATATGCACTGGGAAACCAAAAAATTAGTGACTCACTTTATTCAGATATCTACTTTACCGCATTGGTCGGGAACTGAGCCTAAAATAGTTCTCACTTTTTGAGGCTAACGATGCCTTTTTCCCCTATGGCCCTGGGTAAATGGTCACCTTTTTTACTGCTTCCCTGAATCTTCACGAAAATTTTACTAGACATTATTTGAAATGTACACGCCAGGCTTTTATAGCTCCTTCCTTGTATGACAAGACACCAGCAGGACTTACTTCCCCATCTGGGCAAGACAAACTTAAGAAAATGGCCAGAACCTGCAGATGGCGCCAAAAGCAACCTCTAGTGACACTCATTGTTCATTAGCATAAGATACTCCGACCAACACCATGATACTTTACAAATGCCACAACTCAGAAGTTACCACTCCTTTTCTAGGGATTTCTGAAAAACCTGTGCCTTAATTTGCATGTAATTAAAAGTGGGTGTAAATTATTAACCAACAGCCCACAAGGGCTCTCGGCACACTGCCTATAGGTTAGCCCTGCTCCGCAAGGTGGCAGTGTGAGTTTAATAAAGTTGCTGTGTTTCACTGCTGACTCATTCTTGAATTCTTTTCTGTGCAAAGCCAAGAAACCTCCCAGGCTAAGCAAATCTTGGGTCTCGCATACCCTGCATCATTGCTAGAGAACAGAGGTCTTATATCTCATCTCCAGGCATAAGACCAGTCTTCAGCCCCTAGTATCTACATCCAGTTGAGAGGGCCAGTTGCTGAAAGCAACTGTAGAAATGATGCAGGGTATGTGAGACCCAAAATTTGGGGCTTAGTCTGGGAGGTTCTGATAAAACCATTGCAATGACACTGATTTCCCTTTTTGGTTCTAGTACCTGACAATTGTCTATTTTTGCTTTCTAGCTTGACCATATTTAGTATTTTTGTTGTTAATACTTTATTCTACTGGCTGATTTTATTTAGTATTAAAGAGGGTCTTCAGTCTACCAGACCATTTGAAAGTCTATTGTTTATTATTTTCTTCATTCTGTCTTAAAACTAATTTCTTAAACATAAAAATAAAACCATCCCATACCCTGGTATACCCTCCATCAACACTTCATAATTTTAATATTTGCTATATGTTTTTAATTTATTGTTTTGAGACAGAGTCTCACTCTGTCACCTAGCCTAGAGTATAGTAGTGTGATCACAGCTCACTATAATACTGAACTCCTAAACTCAAGTGATCCTCCCACCTCAGCTCCCAAGTAGCTAGGACTACAGGCGAGCACCACCAAACCCAGCTAATTTCTTTACTTTTCGTAGAAATGGAGTCTCACTATTACCTAGGCTGGTCTTGAGGTACTGGTCTCATACAATCCACCTGCCTCAGTCTCCCAATGCACAAGGATTACTGGCATTAGCCACCATGCACAGCCAACTGCCCTATATATTTCAAACCCACTTTCTAAAAAAGTCAGAAATGTTTATAGATGATTTAAGTCTCCATCCCTTCTCCATCTTATTTTCTTTTCTTTCTTTTTTTTTTTTTTTTTTTTTTTTTTTTGGAGACAGGGTCTCACTCTGTCACCTGGGCTGGAGTGCAGTGGTGCAGTCACAGGTCACTGCAGCCTCAACCTCCCGAGCTCAAGCAGTTCTCCTGTCTCAGCCTGTAATGTAGCTGAGACTACAGCCATGGACCACCATGCCCAGCTAATCTTTGTTTTTCGTTTTCTGTTTTTGTAGAGACAGGGTTTTGCCATGTTGCCCAAGTTGGTATCTCATTTCTTTTCCTTCTTCCCTTCCCAGAAGTGTGAGAAAGTTATACCACCATGTTTTTTATATTTTTACATTATATATGAATTCATATTAAAGAATACTGAATTTTTTTGTTTTTCAAAGTATTCTATAAATCATACCAATCTGAATCTATTGTTTTGTTACAAAAGTAATGGTTTCCAGCTGTCCCTATACTCATTTATTTCTTATTTATTTCATTTTATTTATTTTCAGACTGTAGATTTTGGGGGTTTGTTGTTTTATTTATATATTTTAATTAACAAAAATTGAATATATTTATCACGTACAATATAATGTTTTGAAATATGTATACATTGTAGAATGGCTAAATGGGGCTAACATATGTATTACCCTACATATTTTAGCATTTTTTTGGTGAGAACACCTACAATCAACTCTCTACCCAACTTTCAAAAATATGATACATATATTCTTTTTTTCTTTTTTTTCTGAGACAGGGTCTTACTCTGTTGCCCAGGCTGGAGTGCAGTGGCACAGTCTCAGCTCACTGCAACCTCCCTCTCCCAGGTTCAAGCAATTCTCCTGTCTCAGCCTCCCAAGCAGCTGAGATTACAGGCACTTGCCACCATGCCCAACTAATTTTTGTATTTTTAATAGAGACGGGATTTCACCATGTTGGTCAGGCTGGTCTCGAACTCCTGATCTTGTGATCCACCCCCCTCGGCCTTCCAAAGTGCTGGGATTACAGGTGTGGGCCACTGCACCCAGCCTCTAATACATACATTCTTATTAAGTACTGTCATCATGTTATACAATACAGCTCATGAACTTACCCCCCTAACTGAAATTTTGTATCCTTTGACCAATACCTCCCCAACTCCCCAGACTCTAGTTTTGATAAAACCAGTCATTCAAATCCTCCTTTAACTATCACTACCATCCTTTTCCTCAAAAAGACAACTGGTTTAATTTCGTATGTGTGTTTTTGTGTTTTAACAAATAAGAATGCTCCAACTATTGCCCTGAAGCAGCTCACTGTCTAAGAGGACAAAAGCATGTAAACAATACTATAGTAGGATATGTGCTATAATAGTATGTAAAATGTGTAAAACGACTAAAAAGAGACAGTAAATGACCTACAGAAAATAAAGGTATGCATTCCAGAGGACACAGTACTTGAGCAGGCTTCGTGCTTCTCAAGATGAAATGGAGTACGTCAGGCAAATAAAAGGTGGAGAACATTCCATACAGAGAAAACATTATGGCCAAAGACACAGATGTATGAAATTAAGGTACGTTCTGGAAAGTAAAAGTAGGTCAAATCAAGAATACCTAGTACCCAGATCTTATTTTCTAATACCACTGTTCAATAAAAGGAACCAGTGTTCCTTGTAGAAATGGCTAATTCTAGGACTGATATTAGGAAGGCAATATACAAGACGAACCTGGAACACCTTGTAGTGCCAGAATGCAAGTAAGTGTTCAAATGTAAACACCACACATACATACACACGTACACTAATGATGGGGATACGACAAACGAATACGTCAAAGGGATATAAAGCTAACTGAACTCCCAATGGCCAAAGCTAAAACATTTGTTTTTTTGTTTTGTTTTGTTTTGAGATGGAGTCTCACTCTGTCACCCAGGCTGGAGTGCAGTGGCGCAATCTCAGCTCACAGCAACCTCCGCCTCCCAGGTTCAAGTGATTCTCCTACCTCGGCCTCCTGAGTAGCTGGGATTACAGGAGCACCACCACACCTGGCTAATGTTTGTATTTTTAGTAGAGATGGGGTTTTGCCATGTTGGCCAGGCTGGTCTTGAACTCCTGACCTCAGGTGGTCCGCCCACCTCGGCCTCCCAAAGTGCTGGGATTACAGGCATGAGCCACCGCACCCAGCCAAAAGCTAAAACATTTCAACAAAGTGAAGTAGTATTGAATTACAACCTAAATTATAAAATAAATATCCATGAGTCCAGATAGATATAAATAAATGATTTAATAAATAAATAAACAGGGAAGAGACAAATTCCTTATGTAAAAGAATTTCAAATAATTTATGTAGCTACTCCACCCTCAAGGAGGTTGAGTATAATTTCCTATTCCTAAAGTATGGGATGCACATAGTAACTTCCTTCCCAAGGGCGACAGCACAGGTAGTGGGGAGAAAGAGTACCTTTACAGTGGAGAAACCTAACAACGCTCAGTCAGGTGATCAAGGTCAATATCAACAATGCTAAGTCATGTTAAAATATAATGTGATGAAAATGGTACTTTACCTCTGTGGTCTTCCTTCCCAAGTCCCATAGTTCCAGTTTAATCATGAGAAAAAGATTAGACAAATCCCTACTGATGTACACTTTACAAAATACTTGAACAGTATTCTTGAAAACTGTCAGCCATCAAAAACAAGGAATGGCTGTGAAACTAACACAGAAGGAGGAGCCTAAGGAAGTATAGTAACTAAATCTAATGTGGTATCTTAGATGGCATCCTGGAACAGAAAAGAACATTAGGTAAAAATATCATATATTATGTATTAAAAATACATGTAAATATACATTAGGGTTAGAGCTACCTACACCTAACCCTAATATAGGTATAAATATGTGATGTTTATAATAAATATTTATATTACATATGTAATATATGTATGTTCCACTAGTTACATTATTCCTTTTTTATACCAACATGTAACAGTTCTTTGTTTTCTAAGTACCCTCCTGGCCAGGAAGAAATGCTTCCTCATTCTAATTAGTGTTTTCTCCCTTCAGTTTACTGCTGACTAACAGAAACGGCTGTTGTGAAAGTTAATTATATAAATTCTTGTGATACCCAACTAAATCAGAGACAAGGAGCCAGAGGGAAAAAGCTCTCAGAGCACATAGTACTTGCTGCAAGAATTATTTTCCACAAGCCCAGTTGCTGAAATGGCCTTCTATAACCCTAAGAACATTTTCACCTAGCAGCTGCTGAAACAACCTGTTGTTGCTCTAAGACTGGTTTTACCTACCACTATCACTTGCCAATCTGAGCTTGCCAGCTCACAAAAGCTTCTGTAGTACCAATTAGCTTTCCTTCAAAACAATATATAACATTTCTCTTTTTAATAAAACTAACCTTCTCTTTGTTCTTCAGACATACAAAAGACCACCCAGTCTGTGTATGCCCCAAACTGCAATTCTTGCTTCCCAAAATATAACATTAAATTTAGAAATTTGTCTCCATATTTTACTGACTTCAACACTGTGCCCTTTGAAACAAAATGAACTTAGTAAGCATGAAAGTTGTTTTTGATGAGTTACAGTGTTGTCCACTGGTAGTCAAAGCTATCTATTTTCCTAAGCAGTCCTCAGAGAACTAAATTCAGCTATTACTCAAAAGCCAAAGAAACCAGTAAGAGGCTAGGATTCTAGTCAGGTAACTCACAACCTTTTGAAACAGACACAGAAACATCTGCTGTGGGTGGTTTCTTCTCATTTCACCCTAAGACCTAGAGCTAAGATATAAAAGTTATCAAAATACAGCAAGGAATATTCAAGTAACAGAATTCTGAAATTAAGGAATTGAGGCCACAGAAAACACTCAAAATCAATTTGGTATCCTCACCATAAAACCCTTACACATTAGCAGCCAACTAAGAAGTTATTTATGATGAGCCAAGCAATTTACAGTACCTTTTAATCCTCTCAATGATACCACAAGATAGATATTATTATGCCCATTAAAATCCTTACACATTAAAAACTAACTAGCAACAAGTTACTGTGGACCAGGCAACTTAGTTTATCTCATTTAATCATCTCACCAACCCTATGAAGTAGATACCATTATGACCATTTTAACAATGAGATTAAGCAATGAGCCCAGAATCACAGTGTTAGCAAATGATATTAGAATTACAATCCCAGAACACTTTCCCCCACAGCTCTGTCTCTCTTGTTAAATGTTACTAAATGAAAGCATAAGTGAATCAGATTAGGGCAGGTATGGTGGCTTATGCCTATAATCCCACCATTTTGGGAGGCCAAGGTGGGCAGATCACTTGAGGTCAGGAGTTCAAAACAAGCCTGACCAACATGGTGAAACCCCGTCTCTCCTAGAAATACAAAACTTAGCCGGGTGTATGGTGGGCACCTGTAACCCCAGCTGCTGGGGAGGCTGAGGTATGATAATCTCTTGAACCCGGGAGGCGGAGTCTACAGTGAGACAAGATTGCGCCACTGCACTCCAGTCTGGGCCACAGAGCGAGACCTTGTTTCAAAAAATAAACAAATGAATGAATGAATGAATGAATGAATGAATCAGATTAATGTAATTCATCTATGACTGGTTACCTCAATTCATTAGAAACCAAATGGAATTTGGTAACTGTTCTCTGGTGGGAGGGTGAATACAAAGATGACCATATATTCCCTATACTCAGAAATTCACAACCTAGTATATGTACAAACAATTAGCTTTATGAACCAGAATGAAAATAATTGCTATAATATATGTTAAAAACTGTATCTGATGAAAGAGAAAATAAAAAATTAATTCCAATTAGGTAGATGGGAAAGATTCAGGGGCAGAAAACATTTAAGCTAGATCATGAAAGAGAACTAGGATTTCAACAACTGAAAACGGGAAAATACATCAGATTTACAAATGTAATTGTCTTTTGAGGCTAGGTAGGTACCTCAAATTTGTGGTTCTCAAAGTGTTGTTCCTAGACCAGCAGCATCAGCATCACCTGAGAACATGTTTGAAATGTAAATTCTCAGGCCTGACCCCATACTCCTAAATCACAATCTCGGGTTGGGGTCCAGTAATCTGTGTTTTAACAATTCCTCCAGATGATTCTGATGCAAGCTAAAGTTTAAGAACCACTGCCTTAATTGGCTAAGGCAGTCAGAAGAAGTAGGATGATAAGATGTGGAAGGGACTATGGGAATCTGCCTAAGAGAACTCCAATTCAAATTTCTAGAAACACTGAACCAACAACAACAACAAAAAGCATAAGTCTTGACAAAGTAGAGAAAAACACATATCATTTCATCTTCTCTATTATTTATGCTAAAGCAAACACAAGATAGCCTGGGTTAAAACTTCTATTTTGGCCAGGACACAATTTCCAATCCACTGACTCCTTTCTAGCCTGCTAATATTAAGGAATGTTACTGGTTTCTATCCAGTAGTGTCTAAGGAGCATGCTTTCATGAAGAATTAAATTGATGTCAAGCAATAAACAGACCAGCCAAGGAGCTGATATTCATGTCTTGATTAAGAAATAAGATTTCTGTTAATTAAAAAAAGGGAAAAAGGGCTATCACAAAAGAAGTGGGGGTAGAGTGAGAGGAAAGGATTTTGTAAGAGTATCATGCTCCAAAATATAAAGTATTAGGAACTGCATGTTTATGCCCCTCCTCAATTCATGTTAGAGCCCTAACTCCCAATGTGGCTGGCCGTATTCGGAGTAAGGAAATAATTAAGGTTAAATGAGGTCACAAGGACGGGGCACTGATCCAACAGGATTACTATCCTTATAGATAGAAATACTAGAGAACTCGTACACTATCTCCACATGTACACACCAAGGAAAGTCATATGAGGACACAGTGAGAAGGCAGCCATCTGCAAGCCAGGAGGAGCCTTCGCTAGAAATGATATCATGTGAAACATTGATCGTGGACTTCTAGCCTCCAGAACTGTGAGAAAATTTGTTTCTGTTGTTTAAGGCACCCAGTGTACGATATTGTTACGGCCACCTGAGTAAAATGTGGCATAACAAGAGCAATTAATGTAGGGCAGAACAAAAAGAGAATAAGTTTGACTTACAATATTATAAATTTCATGAGTTGTTCAGTCGTAGAGTTACCATCATAGAAAGGAAAAAAACTAAACTCTAGCACACCATTTGGCTCTGCAATTTCAATGGTACTTGTTGGTTTTCAGCTTTGGAATCACCTTCTGGACCAGTGGTTCTCAATGCTTGCTATATAAAAGAATTACCTGGATATATATATATTTTAAATGTCAACATCACTAGCTTACAAACTCAGAGATTCTGATTGTAATTAGTCTGAGTGGGGTTCAAACATTAGTACTGTTTAAAAAGCTCCCCAGGTGATTCTAATGAGTGTAGCTAGTATGAGAATCACTGTTCTAGACAAATACAAGAATTATTTTGCTAAAACTTAAAAGTGAAAGAAAAATAAAAAATCCTAGGCCCCATTCCCAGAGACTCTTTTTTGGTTAGTTTTTGATGAGGCCCAAGAATCTGTATTTTAGAAAATTCACTAGGTGGTTGTGATGTAGGTGGCCCCCTTATACAATCTACTGAACTTCTCTGGCACAGAAATATTTTTGGTATTGTTCTTGTGCACATGCTGTTTCCTCAGTCTGGAAGGCTACTTTCAAAGTTGTCCTCCTGGTGAACTCATCCTGAAAGACCGAAAACTTAAGTACTGTCTCAACTTGAGTTTCATGGTAACTGATTATTTACATGACTGAATTAATTATTCCAAAAATCTACCTATCACACTCCCTCACACTACCAAAAGAAGGAACATCCAGTCTACAATGAAGTCTTCCACATATTATGATACAGAGGATACTGGGGATTTGAGTAAATACTTCCATACATGTCAGTAAGTTGAAAGTATCAATCGGGAAGACCCTTGGCAACACCTGCAGGTATTTTTGCAGAGCTGATGTTGTTTTCCATATAGCAAAAAAAACAAGCTTATCACTGTTATCTCTCCCATTACATGAGTGGTTTCTAAAACACTTGAATCTTATTTCATCTACCACAGAGGATTATATTAAATGCCTATATATAATTTTAATGTTGAACTAAGAAATTCTTTAATAGCTGCAGAAAAAGTGCATTTATGAGAAGGCAACATTAATATGTGCATTGAAAACATATACAGGTAAAGCATAAATTTTTCAGCTGGAAACCCTGAAAATTGTAAGATTTTTGCTCTTCAGTTGATGTATTTGGAGATTATGTATTTTAATGGTGACTTCACACAAAAGGCATTGTTTCAATACCCATGAAAATAACAATGCTTTAAAAAACAGTAAGCATCTAAAATGTCGTCATTACTCTAAACAAAGATTATTGCACCAAAATACAAAATACATAAAATATATAATACACATAAAAACACATAGTTGAAAAGAAACCAAGTTCCATATTACTTAAGCCTAAGCCCTAAATTAAGCCCCAAAAGAAAACACCTTGGAAGAAAAAACTCTGGCTAACAAAACAAGAATGGTAAATGTACATTGTAAGAAGATCTAAAATGAAAGATAAGTTGCTGCATTAAATATACATATGTAGGCCAGGCACAGTGGCTCACACCTGTAATCCCAGCACTTTGGGAGGCCAAGGCGGGTGGATTACTTGAGGTCAGGAGTTTGAGATCAGCCTGGCCAACATGGTAAAACCCTGTCTCCACTAAAAATACAAAAATTAAAAAATTAGCCAGGCATGGTGACACATGCCTGTAATCCCAGCTACTCAGGAGGCTGAGGCAGAAGAATGGCTTGAGCCCGAGAGGCAGAGGTTGTGGTCAGCCAAGATCACCTCACTGCAGTCCAGCCTGGACAACAGAGCAAGACTCTGTCTTAAATAAATAAATAAATAAATAAATAAATAAATAAATAAATAAATAAATGTGTATGTATGTATGTATGTGTAAACACACACAAACTAAAAATACTAGGTTAATGGCTGGGTGCGGTGGCTCACACCTGTAATCCCAGCACTTTGGGAGGCCAACGTGGGCAGATCACCTGAGGTCAGGAGTTCAAGACCAGCGTGGCCAACATGGTGAAACCCCATCTCTACTAAAAATACAAAAATTAGCTGGGCATGGTGGCAGGCACCTGTAATCCCAGACACTCGGGAGGCTGAGGCAGGAGAATCACTTGAACACGGGAGGCGGGTTGTAGTAAGCCGAGATTGCGCCACTGCACTCTAGCCTAGGCAACAGAGTGAGACTCTTGTCTCCAAAAAAAAAAAAAAAAACTAGGTTAATGCATTGATTTTGAAATGCAGCTTAGAGATCTAAAATCAGGACTCATAAATGCCCACCAGATTTGATAACCAGGAGGTCACTGTTTGCCCCACCTGGAAACCCCTATTTACGCACCTAGGATGCAATTCAAATGCCTAAGTGTCCAAAACAACACTGGGCAACTAACAGATGTATGGGACAATCTGAACATCAAAAATAAAAATGTCTGAAATAAAAAGAAAAATAAATAAAAATGCCTATACTGAATTATAATACACTGAATAAATAAAAATCCATGTTGATTCTTTTAAAAATGGATTTTTATTTGCAAAATGCTAAAGTATCACCCCCAGATTACTTGCTAATTTGCCAGTTACCACCTAAACTAAATGACCAAACTAAGTATCACAAATACTAAGACAACGTCAGGTTATAAGCCTTCTGGTATACGATATAAAGTTGACAGTATCACTCATGAAGCAAAGTCTTCCACCAATGTCTTATCAAGCCTCTAGACTTAAAGGAAGAAGACAAGTCAAATGACACCATGAAGAAACAACTGAACAACTCTAAAATGCACATTTCACAAGACTATCCTGGACCCCTCACAAGTTAATGTTATTCCCTCCCCTCCTTCCACAAAGAGTTAGGAGACCTCTTCCACACTAAAAGAGACTAAAGATACAACCATCAAATGTAATATACAACTGTAAATTAGATACTGACAGGAAAAGCTGTAAAAAAAATTTTTTCAGCATAACTAGGAAATTTTCAGTGTTGCCTGGATTTTAGAAGATATTATGGAATTATTAATTTACTGAGACGTACAGTATTGAGTATACGGGAAATTAGGCCAGGCGCAGTGGCTCATACCTATAATCCCAGCACTTTGGGAGGGTGAGGCAGGCGGATCACCTGAGGTGAGGAATTCCAGACCAGCCTGGCCAACATGGAGAAACCCCGTCTCTACTAAAAATACAAAAATTAGCCAGGCATGGTGGTGCACACCTCTAATCCCAGCTACTCGGGAGGCTGAGGCAGGAGAATCGCTTGAACCCAGGAGGCGGAAGTTGCAGTGAGCCAAGACTGCACCACTGCACTCCAGCCTGGGCAACGGAGCGAGGAAGTACTTAACAATGAAGTATAATGATGTCTACAAGTTACTTTCAAACAACAAAGCAACAAACTTGTATGTATACATAGAAATAAAACACATGACATGTTAAAAATTCTTAAATATAGGCCAGGCACAGTGACTCAAGCCTGTAATCCCAGCACTTTGGGAGGCCGAGGCGGATGGATCACTTGAGGCCAGGGGTTCAAGACTAGCCTGGCCAACAGGCGAAACCCTGCCTCTACTAAAAAAAAAGAAAAAAAAAATACAAAATTAGCCGGGCATGGTGATATGCACCTGCAGTCCCAGCTACTCGCGATGCTGAGGCAGGAGAATCGCTTGAACCTGGTAGGTGGAGGTTGCAGTAAGCTGAGATCACGCACTCCAGTCTGGGCCACAGAGTGAGACTCTGTCTCAAAAAAAAAAAAAAAAAATTTTTTTTCTTAAATACAAGCAGATTTACTTGTGTATGCTGAACCATCCTTGGATCTCTCAGACACATCCCCCTTGGTCATGATTAATAACTTTTTTAATGTGTTGTTGAATTTTGTTTGCTAGTATTTTGTTGAGGATTTCTGTATCAGTATTAGTTGGGGATACTGAACTGTAGTTTTTTTTGGTTTGTTTTTTGTTTTGATGTGTTTTTTTCTGATTTTGGCATCAGGGTAATACTGGCCTTGTAGAATGAGTTTGTAAGTATTCCTTCCTCTATTTTTCATATTAGGTTGAGTAAAATTGGTATTCGTTCTTCTTTATGTATATAGTAGAATTTAGCAGTTGAGACCATTGAGTCCCAGGCTTTTCTTTGCTGGCAGATTTTTCGTTACACCTTCGATCATGTTGCTGCTCGTTATTGGTCTCTTCAGGTTTTAGATTTCTTTATGGTTGAATCTTGGAAGGTTTTATTTGTCTAGAAAATTACTTCCTTTAGATTTGTCAATTTATTGGCATATAGTTGCTCTGAGTAGTCACTAATGAACCTTTGAATTTCCACAGTATCAGACATAACGTGTCGTTTTTCATCTCTGATTTTATTTATTTGGGTCTTCTGTCTTTTCTTAGTCTGGCTAAAGATTTGTCAATATTGTTTATCTTTTCAAAAAAACCAACTTTGCCTTTCATTGATCTTGTGTATGTTGAAGTCTCTAGCTATTATTGTATTAAGGTTTCCCATTCTCTCCGTGTCTCTTTCTCTCTCTCTCTCTCTCACACACACACACTCTCTCTCTCTCTCTCTCAATATTTGCTTTACATATCTAGGTGCCCCAGTGTTAGATGCATATATATTCACAATTGTTATGGCCTCGCTGAACTGAGCCCTTTATCATTATACAGTAACCTTTGTCTTTTCTTATAGTTGTCCTGAACTTTATTTTGTCTGATATAACTATAGTTATGCATGCTCTTTTTTGGTTTCCATTACATGGAATATCTCTTTCCATCCCTTTATTTTCAGTCTATATGTGTCTTTATAGGTGAAGTGTGTTTCTTGTAGGCAACAGACCATTTGGGTCTTGTTTTTGTATCCATTCAGCCACTGTCTTTCCATTGAAGAGTTTAGTCCATTTATATTCAATGTTACCATGAATAAGTAAAGATTTACTCCTGCCATTTTGTTACTTGTTTTCCAGTTGTTTTGTGGTATTCTCTTCCTTCTTTGTTGCCTTCCTTTCTTCCTTTTACAGAAGGTGACTTTCTCTGGTAGTATGAGTTAATTTCTTGCTCTTTCTTTCTTGTGTATATTCTGTATGTTTTTATATTGGAGGTTACCACGAGGCTTCCAAATACTATCTTATAACCCATTATCTTAAGCGGATAACAACTTGAAACTGTTTACATAAACAAAAAAAAGAAGCAAAAAGAAACACTCTACATCTTAACATCAGCCCCCCTCTTTTTAACTTTTTGTTTCTATTTATATCTTCCTGTACTGTCTATGTTTTGAAAAGTTGTTGTAGTTATTTTTGATCAGTTCATATTTTAGTCCTTCTATTTGAGAATGGTTTACACACCAAAGTTATAGTATTATATTATTCTGTGTTTTTCTGTGTATTTACTGTTGCCAGTGGTTTATTTTACCCTCAAGTGATATCTTATTGCTCATTATCATCCTTTTCTTTCAGATTGAAGTACTCCCTTTAACACTTCTTGTAGGACAGGTCTGGTGTTGATGAAATCCCTCCGCTTTTCTTTGGGAAAGTATTTCTCCTCATGTTTGAAGGATATTTTCACTGAATATTTTATATTATTCCAGGGTCAAAGTTTTTTTCCTTCAGCTTTTTAATTACTATACTTTAAGTTCTAGGGTACATATGCACAATGTACAGGTTTCTTAGATATGTACACATGTGCCATGTTTGTGTGCTGCACCCACTAACTCGTCATTTACACTAGCTATATCTCCTAATGCTATCCCTCCCCACTCCCCCCACCCCACAACAGGCCCCGGTGTGTGATTTTCCCCTTCCTGGGTCCATGTGTTCTCATTGATCAATTCCCACCTATGAGTGAGAACATGTGGTGTTTGGTTTTTTCTCCTTGCAATAGTTTGCTGAGAATGATGGTTTCCAGCTTCATCCATGTCCCTACAAAGGACATGAACTCATCCTTCTTTATGGCTGCATAGTATTCAATGGTGTATATGTGCCACATTTTCTTAATCCAGTCTATCATTGATGGACATTTAGGTTGGTTCCAAGTCTTTGCTATTGTGAATAGTGCCGCAATAAACATACGTGTGCATGTGTCCTTATAGCAGCATGACTTATAATCCTCTGGGTATATACCCAGTAGTGGGATGGCTGGGTCAAATGGTATTTCTACTTCTAGATCCTTGAGGAATCCCCACATTGTCTTCCACAATGGTTGAACTACTTTACAGTCCCACCAACAGTGTAAAAGTGTTCCTATTTCTCCAAATCCTCTCCAGCACCTGCAGTTTCCTGACGTTTTTAATGATCGCCATTCTAACTGGTGTGAGATGGTATCTGATTGTGGTTTTGATTTGCATTTCTCTGATGGCCAGTGATGATGAGCATTTTTTCATGTGTCTGTTGGCTGCATAAATGTCTTCTTTTGAGAAGTACCTGTTCACATCCTTCGCCCACTTGTTGATGGGGTTGTTGTTTTCTTGTAAATTTGTTTGAGTTCTTTGTAGGTTCTGGATATTAGCCCTTTGTCAGATGAGTAGATTGAAAAAATTTTCTCCCATTCGGTAGGTTGCCTGTTCACTCTGATGGTAGTTTCTTTTGCTGTGCAGAAGCTCTTTAGTTTAATTAGATCCCATTTGTCAATTTTGGCTTTGGTTGCCATTGCTTTTGGTGTTTTAGACATGAAGTCCTTGCCCATGCCTATAGCCTGAATGGTATTGCCTACATTTTCTTCTAGGGTTTTTATGGTTTTAGGTCTAATAATTAAGTCTTTAATCCATCTTTGAATTAATTTTTGTAGAAGGTGTAAGGAAGGGATCCAGTTTCAGCTTTCTACATATGGCTAGCCGGTTTTCCCAGCACCAATTATTAAACAGGGAATCCTTTCCCCATTTCTTGTTTTTATCAGGTTTGTCAAAGATCAGATGGTTGTAGATGTGTGGCATTATTTTGGAGGGCTCTGTTCTGTTCCATTGGTCTATATCTCTGTTTTGGTACCAGTACCATGCTGTTTTGGTTACTGTAGCTTTGCAGTATAGTTTCAAGTCAGGTAACATGATGCCTCCAGCTTTGTTCTTTTGGCTTAGGATTGTCTTGGCAAGGCAGGCTCTTTTTTGGTTCCATATGAACTTTAAAGTAGTTTTCTCCAATTCTGTGAAGAAAGTCATTGGTAGCTTGATGGGGATGGCATTGAATCTATGAATTACCTTGGGCAGTATGGCCATTTTCACGATATTGATTCTTCCTATCCATGAGCATGGAATGTTCTTCCATTTGTTTGTATCCTCTTTTACTTCATTGAGCAGTGGTTTGTAGTTCTCCTTGAAGAGGTCCTTCACGTCCCTTGTAAGTTGGATTCCTAGGTGTTTTATTCTCTTTGAAGCAATTGTGAATGGGAGTTCACTCATGATTTGGCTCTGTTTGTCTGTTATTGGTGTATATGAATGCTTGTGATTTTTGCACATTGATTTTGTATCCTGAGACTTTGCTGAAGTTGCTTATCACCTTAAGGAGATTTTGGGCTGAGACGATGGGGTTTTCTAAATATACAATCATGTCATCTGCAAACAGGGACAATTTTATTCCTCTTTTCTTAATTGAATCCCCTTTCTTTCTTTCTCCTGCCTGATTGCCCTGGCCAGAACTTCCAACACTATGTTGAAAAGAAGTGGTGAGAGAGGGCATCCCTGTCTAGTGCCAGTTTTCAAAGGGAATGCTTCCAGTTTTTGCCCATTCAGTATGATATTGGCTGTGGGTTTGTCATAAACAGCTCTTATTATATTGAGATACATCCCATTAATACCTAATTTATTGAGACTTTTTAGCATGAAGGGCTGTAGAATTTTGTCAAAGGCCTTTTCTGCATCGATTAGGTTTTTGTCTTTGGTTCTGTTTATATGCTGGATTACGTTTACTGATTTGCGTATGTCGAACGAGCCTTGCATCCCAGGGATGAAGCCCACCTGATCATGGTGGATAAGCTTTTTGATATGCTGCTGGATTTGGTTTGCCAGTATTTTATTGAGGATTTTTGCATTGATGTTCATCAGGGATATTGGTCTAAAATTCTCTTTTTTTGTTGTGTCTCTGCCAGGCTTTGGTATCAGGATGATGCTGGCTTCATAAAATGAGTTAGGGAGGATTCCCTCTTTTTCTATTGATTGGAATAGTTTCAGAAGGAATGGTACCAGCTCCTCCTTGTACCTCTGGTAGAATTTAGCTCTGAATCCATCTGGTCCCGGACTTTTTTTGGTTGGTAAGCTATTAATTATTGCCTCAATTTCAGAGCCTGTTATTGGTCTATTCAGAGATTCAGCTTCTTCCTGGTTTAGTCTTGGGAGGGTGTATGTATCGAGGAATTTAACCATTTCTTCTAGATTTTCTAGTTTATTTGCGTAGAGGTGTTTACAGTATTCTCTGATGGTAGTTTGTATTTCTGTGGGATCGGTGGTGATATCCCTTTTATCATTTTTTATTGCATCTATTTGATTCTTCTCTCTTTTCTTCTTTATTAGTCTTGCTAGCAGTCTATCAATTTTGCTGATCTTTTAAAAAACCCAGCTCCTGGATTCATTGATTTTTTGAAGGGTTTTTTGTGTCTCTATCTCCTTCAGTTCTGCTCTGATCTTAGTTATTTCTTGCCTTCTGCTAGCTTTTGAATGTGTTTGCTCTTGCTTATCTAGTTCTTTTAATTGTGATGTTAGGGTGTCAATTTTAGATCTTTCCTGCTTTCTCTTGTGGGCATTTAGTGCTATAAATTTCCCTCTACACACTGCTTTAAATGTGTCCCAGAGGTTCTGGTATGTTGTGTCTTTGTTCTCATTGGTTTCAAAGAACATCTTTATTTCTGCCTTCATTTCGTTATGTACCCAGTAGTCATTCAGGAGCAGGTTGTTCAGTTTCCATGTAGTTGAGCAGTTTTGAGTGAGTTTCTTAATCCTCATTTCTAGTTTGATTGCACTGTGGTCTGAGAGACAGTTTGTTATAATTTCTGTTCTTTTACATTTGCTGAGGAGTGCTTTACTTCCAACTATGTGGTCAATTTTGGAATAAGTGTGATGTGGTGCTGAGAAGAATGTATATTCTGTTGATTTGGGGTGGAGAGTTCTGTAGATGTCTATTAGGTCCGCTTGATGCAGAGCTGAGTTCTATTCCTGAATATTCTTGCTAACTTTCTGTCTCACTGATCTGTCTAATGTTGACAGTGGGGTGTTAAAGTCTCCTATTATTATTGTGTGGGAGTCTAAGTCTCTTTGTAGGTCTCTAAGGACTTGCTTTGTGAATCTGGGTGCTCCTGTATTGGGTGCATGTATATTTAGGATAGTTAGCTCTTCTTGTTGAACTGATCCCTTTACTACTATGTAATGGCCCTGTCTCTTTTAATCTTTGTTGGTGTAAAGTCTGTTTTATCAGAGACTAGGATTGCAACCCCTGCCTTTTTTTGCTTTCCATTTGCTTGGTAGATCTTCCTCCATCCCTTTATTTTGACCCTATGTGTGTCTCTGCACGTGAGATGGGTTTCCTGAATACAGCACACTGATGGATCTTGACTCTTTATCCAATTTGCCAGTCTGTGTCTTTTAATTGGAGCATTTAGCCCATTTACATTTAAGGTTAATATTGTTATGTGTGAATTTGATCCTGTCATTATGATGTTAGCTGGTGATTTTGCTCGTTAGTTGATGCAGTTTCTTCCTAGCATTGATGGTCTTTACAATTTGGCATGTTTTTGCAGTGGCTGGTACCAGTTGTTCTTTTCCATGTTTAATGCTTCCTTCAGGAGCTCTTGTAGAGCAGGCTTGGTGGTGACAAAATCTCTCAGCATTTGCTTGTCTATAAAGGATTTTATTTCCCCTTCACTTATGAAGCTTAGTTTGGCTGGATATGAAATTCTGGGTTGAAAATTCTTTTCTTTGAGAATGCTGAATATTGGTCCCCACTCTCTTCTGGCTTGTAGAGTTTCTGTCGAGAGATCCCCTGTTAGTCTGATGGGCTTCCCTTTGTTGGTAACTCGACCTTTCTCTCTGGCTGCCCTTAACATTTTTTCCTTCATTTCAACTTTGGTGAATCTGACAATTGTGTCTTGGAGTTGCTCTCCCTGAGGATTATCTTTGTGACGTTCTCTGTATTTCCTGAATTTGAATGTTGGCCCGCCTTGCTAGATTGGGGAAGTTCTCCTGGATAATATCCTGCAGAGTGTTTTCCAACTTGGTTCCATTCTCCCCGTCACTTTCAGGTACACCAATCAAACGTAGATTTGGTCTTTTCACATAGTCCCATATTTCTTGGAGACTTTGTTCATTTATTTTTATTCTTTTTTCTCTAAACTTCCCTTCTTGCTTAATTTCATTCATTTGGTCTTCAATCACTGATATTCTTTCTTGCAGTTGATGAAATCGGCTATTGAAGCTTGTACATGTGTCATGTAGTTCTTGTGCCACGGTTTTCAGTTCCATCATGTCATTTAAGGACTTCTCTACATTGGTTATTCTAGTTAGCCATTCGTCTATCTTTTTTCAAGGTTTTTAACTTCTTTGAGATGGGTTCGAACATCTTCCTTTAGCCCAGAGAAGTTTGGTCTTCTGAAGCCTTCTTCTCTCAACTCTTCAAAGTCATTCTCCATCCAGCTTTGTTCCGTTGCTGGTGAGGAGCTTCATTCCTCTGCAGCAGAATTCTAAAAATTCTGATTTTTAGAATTTTCAGCTTTTCTGCTCTGGTTTCTTGCCATCTTTGTGTTTTTATCTACCTTTGGTCTTTGATGATAGTGACATACAGATGAGGTTTTGGTGTGGATGTCCTGTTTGTTAGTTTTCCTTCTAGCAATCAGGACCCTCAGCTGCAGGTCTGTTGGTGTTTGCTGGAGGTCCACTCCAGACCCTGTATGCCTGGGTTTCAGCAGCAGAGGCTGCAGAACAGCGAATACTGCTGAACAGCAAATGTTGCTGCCTGATGATTCCTCTTGAAGTTTCGTCTCAGAGAGGTACCCAGCCGTGTGAGGTGTCAGTCTGCCCCTACTGGGGCCTACCTCCCAGTTAGGCTACTCAGGGGTGAGGGACACACTTGAGGAGGCAGTCTGTCCGTTCTCAGATCTCAAACTCTGTGCTAGGAGAACCAATACTCTCTTCAAAACTGTCAGACAGGGACATTTAAGTCTGCAGAGGTTTCTGCTGCCTTTTGTTCAGCTATGCCCTGTCCCCAGAGGTGGAGTCTACAGAGGCAGGCAGGCCTCCTTGAGCTGCAGTGGGGTCCACCCAGTTCGAGCTTCCCCGCCACTTTGTTTACCTACTCAAGCCTCAGCAATGGTGGATGCCCCTCCCCCAGCCTTGCTGCCACCTTGCAGTTCAATTTCAGACTGCTGTGCTAGCAATGAGTGAGGCTCCATGGGCATGGGACCCTCCAAGCCAGGAGTGGGATATAATCTCCTGGTGTGCCGTTTGCTAAGACCATTCAAAAAACACAGTATTAGGGTGGGAGTGACCCAATTTTCTAGGTGCCATCTGTCACAGCTTTACTTGGCTAGGAAAGGGAATTCCCTGACGCTTCATGCTTCCTGGGTGAGATGATGCCTCACCCTGCTTTGGTTCACGCTTGGTGCGCTGCACCCACTGTCCGACAAGCCCCAGTGAGATGAACCTGGTACCTCAGTTGGAAATGCAGAAATCACCCATCTTCTGTGTCGCTCACACTGGGAGCTACAGACTAGAGCTGTTCCTATTTGGCCATCTTGGAACCGCCTCCCTTCAGCTCTTTAAGTATGTCATGCCACTCTCTGCAGCCTGTAAGGTTTCCACTGAAAACTCTGCTGCCAGACATGCTGGAGCTCCATTGTATGTTGTTTCTCTTCTCTTACTGCTTTTAGGATACTTTATCTTTGATCTCTGGGAGTTTGGTTATTAAATGTCTTGAGGTAGTCTTTCAGTTGAATCAGCTTGGTGTTCTATAACCATTTTTTAATTATATACTAATATCTTTCTCTAGATTTGGGAAGTTCTGTTATCCCTTTAAATAAACTCTCTACCCTTATCTCTTTCTCTACCTCCTCTTTAAGACCAATAACTCTTAGATTTGGCCTTTGAGGCTATTTCCAAGATCTTTTGCCTAGAATGAAGGCATGCTTCATTCTTTTTTATTCTTTTTTCTTCTGTCTCCTCTGACTGTATTTTTAAGCAGGTTGTCTTCACACTCACTAATACTTTCTGTCTGATCAATTCTGCTACTAAAAGACTTAAAATGCATTCTTGAGTAGTTCAATTGCATTTTCAACTCCAGAGTTTCTGCTTGATTCTTTTTTAATTAATTCAGTCTCTCTGATAGACTTCTGAATTCCTTTTCCATATTATCTTGAATTTCTTTGAGTTTCCCTCAAAGCAGCTCTTTGGAATTCTCTGTCTGAAAAAGGTCACATATCTGTTTCTCCAGGATTGGTCCCTGGTGCCTCATTTAACTCATTTGGTGAAGTCACGTTTTCCTGGATAATCTTGATGCTTATGGATGTTTGCTGGTGTCTGGGCATATATATGAGTTAGGTATTTACTGTAATTTTTGCATTCAGGGCTTCTTTGTATCTGTCCTTGGGAAGACTTTCCAGGTATTGGAAAGAACTTCGGTGTTGTGATCTAAGTCATACCTGCATTAGGGGGCACCCCAAGCCCAGTAACACTGTAGCTCTTACAGACTTCTAGAGGTATTGCCTTGATGGTCTTGGATAAGATCTGGAAGAATTTTATGGATTAGCATATAGAAACTATTGTTATCTTCCCACACTTTCTCCCAAACAAATGGAGACTCTCTCTCTCTCTCTCTGTACTGAGTTGCTTGGAGCTGGGGGTGGGGTGACACAAGTACTCCTATGGCTGCCACACTGGGACTGTGCTGGGTCAGACCTGATGCCAGCACAGTACTGAGTCACATCCCAGGCTGCCTGTAACTACTACCTGGCTACCAACTATGTTCGCACAAGGTCCTATGTCTCAAAAATCAGCAGATGGTGAAGCCAACCAAGCTTATATCCTTCCCTAAAGCATGAAAATTTCCCCCTAGGCCTTAGGGCAGGTCCAGGGATACTGCACAGAAGCCAGACTAGGGTCAAACACCTTAGAAACCTACCTGGTATTCTATTGTACTGCGGCTGAACTGGCACTCAAACCACAAGACTACAGTCCTTCCCATACTTCCCTCCCCTTTCCATAGGAAGAGGAGCCTCACCCTGTGGTAACCACCACCACAGACCCATAGGGACTACTGCCAGGCTACTGCCAATGTTCTCTTGAAGCCCAAGGGCTGCCTGTAATCCCAACACTTTGAGAGGCCAAGGTGGGCAGAACCCTTGAAGCCAGGAGTTCAAGACCAGCCTGGCCAACATGGTGAAACTCCGTCTCTACTAAAAATATAAAAATTAGCCAGGTGTGGTGGCACATGCCTGTAATCCCAGCTACTCAGGAGGCTGAGGCATGAGAATTGCTTGAACCCAGGAGGTGGAGGTTGCAGTGAGCCAAGATCACACGACTGCACTCCAGTCTGGGTGAGACAGAGAGACTCTGTCTCAAAATTAAAAAAAAAAAAAAAAAAAAAAAAAACTCCAAGGGCTCTTCAGTCAACTTGTGGTGAATGCTGTCAGGCCTGGGACTCTCTCTTCAGGACAGTGGGCTCCCCACTCTGGTTGGTCCAAGGCAGGTCCAAAAATGCCAACCAAGAGCCAAGGCATGGAGTCAGGGACCCCAAGAGCCTACCTGGTGCTCTACCCCTGTGGCCAAGCTGTTACTTAAGGCGCAAGAAAAACTTATCTTTAATCCAACAGCTGCAGAGTACACATTATTCTCATTAGCACATAAATCATTCTGAAGGGCAGAACATGTATTAGGCCACAAAACAAGTCTTAAGACACTAAAAAAAAAAAATGAAATAATATAAAGTACCTTCTCTGACCACAATGGAATAAACCTAGAAATCAATAATGAGGAATTCTGGAAACTATACAAATACATGAAAATTAAACAATATGCTCCTGAATGACCAGTGGGTCAATGAACAAATTAAGGAAGAACTTGAAAAACTAACTGAAACAAATAATAATAAAAACACAGCATGCCATGCCAAAACCTATGGGGTTACAGCAAAAGCAAGAGGGAAGTACCAAATATCAAGAGGGAAGTTTATAGGTGTAAGCACCTACATCAAAAGGTGGAAAAGCAAACAACCTAAAGATACATCTTAAAGAACTGGAAAAATAAACGCAAACCAAGCCAAAAATTAGTAGAAGAAGAGAAATAATAAAGATCAGAGCAGAAATAAATGCAATTGAAACAAATAAAGCAATATAAAAGATCAATGAAACTAAAAGCTGGTTTTTAGAAAAGAAAAAAAAATTGACAAATCTTTAACCAGACTAAATAAAAGAGGAAAATAAATAAAGTCAGAGATTAAAAAAAATTACAACCTATACCACAGAAATTCAAAGGATCATTAGAGGCTACCATGACCACCTACATGCCAATAAATTTGAAAACTTAGACCAAATGTGGCAATTTCTAAACTCATACCACCTACCAAGACTGAACCCTGGGGAAATCCAAAATGTGAATAGACCAGTAACAAGTAACAAGATCAAAGCTGCAATAAAAAGTCTGCCAGAAAAGAAACCCCTGGGACCCGACGGCTTTACCTGATGGCTTCACTGAATCTTACCAAACAGTTAAAGAAGAACTAATACCAATCCCACTCGAACTATTACAAAAAACAGAGGAGAATACTTACAAACTCATTCTATGAGGCCAGTGTTACCTTGATAGCAAAACCAAAGACACATCAAAAAACAAAAACAAATAACAAACAAACAAACAAAAAACTACAGGCCAACATCCCTGATGAACATTGACGCAAAAATCCTTAACAAAATACTAACAAACTGAATTCAACAACACATCAAAAAATCATTCATCATGACCAAGTGATATTTATCCCAGAGATGCAAGGGTGGTTCAATATACACAAATCAATCTATGTGACACATCATATCGACAGAATGAAGGACAAAAACCATATGTTCACTGCAATAGATACTGAAAAAGCATTTGATAAAATTCAACATCCCTTCATGATTTTAAAAAAAAAGCCTCAACACACTGGGTATAGAGAGAACATAACTCAACATAAGAAAAGCCATGTATGACAAACCCACAGCTAGCATCATACTGAATGGTGAAAAACTAAAAGTCTTTCTTCTAAGATTGGGAACACAAGGATGCCCACTTTCACCACTGCTATTCGACACAGTACTGGAAGTACTAGCTAGAGCAATCAGACAAGGGAAACAAATAAAGGGTATCCAAATTGGAAAGGAAGAAATCAAATCATCCTTGTTTGTTATCAAAAAATAGAAAAATTAGCCCAGCATGGTGGTGCATGCCTGCAGTCCCAGCTTGCTACTCGAGAGGCTTAGTTGGGTCACCTGAGCCCGGGAGGTTGAGGCTGCGGTGAGCCATGATTGCACCACTGCACTCCAGCCTGGATGATAGAGTGAGACCCTGTCTAAAAAAAAAGAGTATATGGATTGTTTGTAACACAAAGGATAAATGCTTGAAATGATGGATACCCTATTTACCCTGATGTGATTACTACAGTGTATGCCTGTATCAAAATATCTCATGTGCCCCATAAATACATACACCTATGTTTTTTAAAAAAAGAAAAATGAGAAAAGATGTAAAAGGAATATCCACATTCCCATGTTCACTGCAGCAATATTCATAATAGCCAAGATATGGAAGCAACCTAAGTGTCCATGAATGGATGTTAAATGGATAAAGAAAATGTGGAATATATGTGCAACAGAATATCACTCATCCCTAAAAAGGCAGGAAATTCTGACATACGCTACAACATGAATCAACCTTTAAGGACATTATGCTAAATGAAATAAGCCAGTTACAAAAAGGCAAATACTGACTGTATCATTCCACTAAAATGAAGTACCTAAAGTAGTAAAACTCTTAGAGACAGAAAATAAAATGGTGACCGTCAGACAATGGTGTGAGGGGCATGGAAAATTTGTGTTTAATGCATACAGAGTTTCAGTTTTGCTAGATGAAGAAGAGTTACGGAGATGGATGATGGTGATGGTTGCACAATTTAACTATACTTAATACCACTGGATCTGTATATTTAAAAATGGCTTCAGATGGTGAATATTACATTATGTGTATTTAACCAAAAAAAAACACAAAGAAAAGAAAAAGTCAATTGCTTTCCTACATACCAGCAATAAACAAGTGGAATTTCAACACATTTCAACACAACACTATTTACATTAGCTCCAATTAAAAATGAAATACATGGGTATAAATCTAATAAAATATGTGCAAAATCTATATGAGGAAAACTATAAAAGTCTAATGAAATAAATTAAAGAATATATAAATAAATGGAGAGATAGTCCATGTTCATAGACAGGAACACACAATATTGTTTAGATGTCATCTATGAATAACTCCCCTCATATCACTACCCCCTTATGAGGTAGTGTCAAACTTTCACCATTTAATACACCACTTATCCAATATGCACTGATGTGCATGGGCAGAGGAGAGTGTGATTGTCTGTTCCCACAATTTAAACATTCTGGAAAGACACATCTATATTCCTTTTCCTATATTAAATAAATGGATAAACATGTAGATGAAAAAATAAATGAATTTTTTAAGTGGCCAGCTGATCTTTTCAGAGGTATTATAAAATATATGGCTATTTTCAGAGGGAACTGGACTAGGTCACTTCCAATGTGACTCCTCACACTATATCCTATGTATTTTATTATCTCCAAAGCTATAATAAATGAGAAAAATGGCTGACAGTGTAAATGTTCACTATAAAGTCGACCTAAAAACATTTCTAATTTTATAGAACAAGGACAAAATGGACTGTGGTATTGAACCCAATTCTTCAACCTTCCATGCATCCATACCATTCAACTCTATAGTCCCTCCTGCTAACATATATTTTCCATTCACTAGGCTCAGACATATGACTTTACTCTATCAATGCAAAACATGGTCAGAAGTCACATTGTGACAATTCTGAGCCTATGCCTTGAGAAGTACCATGAGTTTCTGCTTGCAGTCTTAACTTTGTGTCATCATGATCATAAGATCTTTGATTTATCTGTGATCTCATCAGAGGATATCAGGATAAATGCACATGGAACATATCTGAGCCCAATCTGTTCCATCCAACCAGATCTGCAACTTGAAACAGTCACCCAAACAATCAGCCAACTCCTGGCAAATATCTGAATGAGAATAAATAATTGTTGTTTTCAGCCACTTTACTATGAAGTTGTTTGCTACACAGCAACAGCATTAGTTTCAAGTGAAATACTATGTCTGGGGTTTGCATTTTAAAAATACTCCAGCCAGGCATGGTGGTGCATTCCTGTAGTCCCAGCTACCCAGGAGGCTGATGGGAGGATCACTTGAGCTCAGAAGTTAGAAGATATAATGTGCTATGATCATGCCTGTGAACAGGCACTGCCCTCCAGCCTAGACAAACAGAGCAAGACTCCACCTCTTGAAAAACAACAACAACAACAACAAAAAACTCTAGGAGTACTATGCAGCTATAAAAGAAATAAGCTGATATCTATACCTATACAGATAGACACATTAAATATTTACGTATATTTGAGCTTGTCCTATATTCTACAATGAAGAAATCTCCAGAATATATCCTTGAATGAAAAACACAGCATAGAAAATTCTGTATAATATGCTACCATTTATTATTCATATATGAAAATATAGACACATTTACTTCTATTTTTTACAATGAAAAAATAAAAGATAATTTCTGTAATGTTTCCTATAGAAGGGAGAGAATAGGGCATTCTCCAGGACAGACCACAAAAAACTATACCATACACTTTAAAAACAAAGATATTCCTTCACTGACTTTTGGCTTGCATTATTATTGGAAGTCTTCTGTCAGTCTTATCTTTGTTAACTTTGTGTATATCTTTTCCTTTGACTGTTCTTAAATTTTTCGATTTTCACAGGTTTTAAGCAATTTGATTTGATGCTTTCTAGTTTTCTTCATGTTCCCTGTGTTTGGGGTTCAATGACTTCTTTGATATGTTGGTTTATGGTTTTCCTCTAATTTGGAAAATGTTGGTGGTTATTTCCTCAAATATTTTTGTCTTCTCTCCCCTCCCATTTCTGCCTTCTGCAGATTCCAATTACACGTTTTTTAGACTGCTTGAAGTTGTCCCACAAATCACTGCTCCTCTTTTTTTTCCAGCTTTTTCTCTGTTTTGTTTTGCATAATTCCTACTTCTCTGGAATTCACTAGTATACAAGTTCACTAGTATACAAGTTCACTAGTATTTTTCCTCTGCAATGTCTACTCTGCTGTTAATCTCACTCATTGCATTTTTCATCTAAGACATTATGCTGTTCATCTGAAGATGTTTGATTTAGGACTTTTCACATGTTCCATATCTTTCCTTAACCTATTCATGCTTTCCTCTACTGTCTTAAACATATGAAATATAGGTATAACTTTTAATGACCTTCTATCATCTATATCATTTCTAGGTCTCTCTCTACTGATTTTTCTCATGATTATGGGTCATATTTTCTAGCTTCTTACATGCTTGGTAATTTTTGATTGGGTCCAAATACTGTGACTTTTATCCTTGTTACATGTTAGACATTTCTGTATTCCTTTAAATATATATATTTTGAGACAGAGTCTCACTCTGTCACCCAAGCTGGAGTGCAGTGGCAACAACCTGTGCCTCCCATGTTCAAGCAATTCTCCTGCCTCAGCCTCCCGAGTAGCTGGGAATACAGGCGCGTGCCACCACACCCAGCTAATTTTTGTATTTTTAGTAAAGACAGGGTTTCACCATGTTGGCCAGGCTGGTCTTGAGCTCCTGACCTTGTGATCCACCCACCTCGCCTCCCAAAGTGCTGGGATTACAGGCGTGAGCCACCACGCCCAGCCTCCTTTAAATATTCTTGAGCTTTGCTCTGAGATGCTTGAAAATAATTGATCTTTCTCAGGCTTCTTTCTAAGTTTTGTTAGGTACCACCAGAGAAAGCGTTAGTATTAGGGCTATTTTCCCCCCTACTACTAAGGCAATATCCTTCTGAGTACACTAGGGTGCCCATTTATTTATTTAGGATGTTCCATTTATTATAAAGTATTTTCATTCAGCTGGTGGGAAGAAGAAATAGTCTATGCTTTGTGTGAGTGCTAGAGATATTTTACTTCATAAATACTTTCCATTTACTTTACTTTTTCTTCATTTTTTGTTAATAGCTCTAGCATTTCTCAAAAAATTTTAATCATCTGAGAAATGCCTGGAAAAATGGGTTTCATGGCAAGTAAGCTAGGAAACTGTATACATTCTCTCTCTCAGACACTTACAATGAATTTTAGCATATTAAAGCCTACCTAAACACTTCATAAAAGAAATTCTTACAACTTTTCTAAACTAACTTAATGAAGACTAAAAGCTTCATTTCACATAAAATATATTACATCTCACAATCTTAGAAAATACTGTTTTTCATTTTTATTGCTTTCAATTTTGTTTCTCTTCAATTATTCTAATCTTTGGGGAAATTAAGGTGTTTTTTGTTGCAATGGTGATTATTGTTTTCTTCTTAATTCCCTGCATTAAACAGAGTTATGATGGATTGATGGACAGATGGATGGATAGAAGCAATTTTGAGAGTGACCGAGCAAAGAGCATAGGCTTTGGAGTCAGACCAGTCTGACTCCAAATTCACACACTTTGAATTCACAAACTTTACAAGCCAGAGCAAGTTACTTCACCTCTCTATTATCTACAGAGAAAAATAATAACTTCCTTATGAGGTTGTGAAAACTAAATGAGATAAATTAAGCAACAAGCTCACAGCACATGCTCAGTAAGTCTCTTTTTCACATTTCCCTTTCAGTTAAATACAAAGGTTTCCAATATAAATCGTCATTTTTTATAAATATCATCAGTACTAATATATAGTATAGCCTCAAATGAGTATTTATTCACGTTCATCTTTCACTTAGTAAATTCTATTTATGTGTGTGTGGGTATACATATACATATGCTATGTATAACTATATAGATTTCTAATAGAGGTAAAATCACTTCCCCAGGTACTGTTACAATTTAAAGATTTGATCTTGATGTGATTTCTAATAGAGGTAAAATCACTTCCCCAGGTACTGTTACAATTTAAAGATTTGATCTTGATGTGACAGTGAATTGTTTAAAACATTAAAAAAAGTAGATAGAAAAATATGGAAGTATTTCAAAATGTATTATATATTTATCTACTTGTTTTTCATTAATAACATCTGTATGAAAATAATCTGAATCTATGTTCTTCTAATCCAGCTACTTACTTCCTCTTAAAAAATATAATCCTGCTTGGAATGGTTAGGATTCCACCTGCAGGGCTAAGATTTATTGTTCTCAGAAAAAGGCAACAAAAACCATCAAAAGAGAAAAAGACAGAACCCAGGGCCCCTTAAGGGGATGGGGAAGAAGGGAATAAACAATGAAAGATCAATTATTTTAATTCCAAGTAATTTTATTATAAATAATACTTCAGCTTCCCCAAAACACATTTGTGCCTCATTAAAGCCAAATGTTACAGGGCTGAACATGGTGGCTCATTCCTGCAAGCCCAGCACTTTGGGAGGCCAAGGTGGGAAGATTGCTTGAGCCCAGGAGTTTGAGATCAGCCTGGGCAACATAGCAAGACCTAGGTTCTATAAAATAAAATTTAAAAATTTAAAAAGAAAAAAAAAACTGTTGGCTGGCCACAGTGGCTCAGGCAGACTCATGCCTGTAATCTCAGCACTTTGGGAAGCCAAGGCAGGTGGATCACTTTGAGCTCAGGAGTTCAATACCAGCCTAGGCAACATGGTAAAACCCTGTCTACAAAAAATACAAAAATGTGTCGGGCATGGTGGTGCATGCTTGAGGTCCCAGCTACTAGGGAAGGTGAGGCTGGAGAATCACTTGAACCCAGGAGGCAGAGGCTGCAGTGGGCCAAGATCATGCCACTGCACTCCAACCTGAGCAACAGAGTGAGACCCTGTCTCAAAAACAACAACAACAAACCCTGTTACAGCCAGTTAACAATCACATGGTTTAGAAGTACTATAAGCAGATCTTTTAGAACAGCTCTTCAAGCATCTTTGCACACTGTAAACCATCTCTAGATAGCTTTGATTAATGAAATTACAAAGTACCTAATTTTCATTAGGAAATAATGAACTTCCGAAGAAAGTAACTTTTGTTATTGCATCACTCTCAAAGTTCCTCATAAATCCTACTAATATAAGGATTTCAGTCCATGTCAGATAGAGGTGATCAGTTGATTACTGTAAACAAGATCCTTCCATAATTATAAAAGGCAAAGTACTTAAAGGATTTTTTAAAACTATTCCAGAAATTCTAATGCTTTTAATAGAATCTTAAAACCTGTGCTATCTAATATGGTAGCCACTAACCACATGTGACTACCAAGCATCTGAAATATGTGTAATAAGAACTGAGATGTGCAGTAAGTACAAAATACACACTACATTTCTTAGAAATTAAAGAAAACATTTCATTAATAATTTTTATGTTGATTACATGTTAAAATAATACTCTGGATACACTGGGTTAAATGAAATGTATTATTAAATTTAATTCATCTATTCTTACTTTCTTTAAAAGTAGGGCTACTTAAAATTTTTAAATTACATATGTGGCTCACACTCTATTTTGGACATGTACTGCCCTAAACTCACCTCCCTTTATTCAAAGTCACACAAACTATATGCAGTTGTCTCTTGGTATCCATGGGGATTGGTTCCAGTACCCCTCCCTTGGATACCAAAATCTGAGAATGCAAGTCTCGTCTATAAAATGGCATAGTATTTGCATATAACTTATGCACATCCTCCAGTATACTTTAAATCATCTCTAGATTACTGATAATACCTAATACAATGTAAATGATATGTAAGTAGCTGTTATACTGTATCTGTTTTTTATATATATTATTTTTATTGTGTTGGGTTTTCTCCCGAATATTTTCAATTTGTGGTTGGTTGAATCTGGAAATGCCGAACTCAAGAATATTAATAAAAATCCTACATTAACTCATTTGTGGTGAGAGTTTCAGTCAAATCACAGCTATCCAACTACACAATTTGGGTGTTATTTCTGGTAATCTTGGTCCTTCTCCTTATTACTCTCCAACAAAACCTGGGCACTTATCAGACTATAATTTTGTTTACATACCTATCTTCTATCTCCCCTACTAGATTCTTATCTCTTGAAATGTAGGAACTGTCTTAAGTCATCTTTTTATCCCCAGTGCACAACACAGATACCTGTTCATATCTAATGCATATTCAAACTACTCTCACACCTTTTGCTCAAGTTGTTTCCTATGTTATTTCCTTGTTTATCATCTTCTCTGCCAGCCAAGATATTTCATTAACTAAAGCCTTCCTTAATTATCCCTACCCTCTAACCCTCGAAAGAGTTACTTACCTGTGTTTTCTTAGGACTTTGTATCTCAAAGTTCCTGAGATACTTATAAATTATAATGATTAGCACACTGTGTCTTTATATAGTCTCCTCAAGATATGACTGGTGTCTTGTCCATTTTTGTAGCTCTGTCATCTTATAACTATATCTAGTGTAGTTAATGGTAATAAATGTCTTTCAAAGGAATTAAATGATGTATCTTTAGTATATGTATAAATTAAATCACTGTACATGCACTAGCAAAAATTCCAGTTTCATAACAAAAAATGTTGAAACATTTGGGCACCTAATAAAAATGGCAATAAATAGAGGACATCAGGAGAAAAAGGGAATTTTAAGGAAGAAAGATAAAAGAAAAAATTCAATTTGCTAACCAACCACATTAGTGATATTGTAATATACATCTGGTGACAAGTCCAATAGCAGCAACAGATACTAATTAGCAAAGAACTGAATTATCCCTGGCTCCCTTAACAAGAAATTAGGGAAGAGTCTCCACTCTGTTATTTCTAGTCTCCTGCTGGCTTGGTTTCCAGCATGTTCTCTCTACAGGTTGCACATACAGGATACTTGGCTTCCAAGTCTCTCTACTGGAACCTCACAAAACAAGCTACGTACATGAAAACTGTATAAAACTTCTACATAAGTATGGCAGCCCTCAAAAAATTAAATTTAGAATTAACATATGATCTAACAATTCCACTTCCGGGTATATATTCCAAAAACTAAATGAAAACAGGGATTCCAACAGATATTTGTATATCAACGTTCATAGCAGCATTATTCACAATAACCGAAAGGTGGAAACAACCTAAATGTCCATTGATAGATGAATAAACAAAATGTGGTCTGTACATACAAGAGAGTATTATTCAGCCTTTGAAAGGTGGGAAATTCTGAACATGCTACAGTGTGGATGCACCCTGAAGACATTAATGAAATAAGCCAGACACAAAGGGACAAATACTGTATGATTCTACTTATATGAGGTACTAGAGTAGTCAAATTCATAGAGACAGAAAGTAGAATGGTGGCTGCCAGAGCTGGGGAATGGGGAAATGAGGAATTAAAGTTTAATTGGCAAGGAGTTTCAGTTTGAGAAGACGAAAAAGTTCTGGAGATGAATGGTGGTAATGGACACAAAGCAATTTCAATGTACTTAATTCAACAGAACAATACATTTTAAAATTATTAAAATGATAGATTTTATGTTATGTATACTTCATTATGTATGCATGTTTACTTTCCTAAAATCCTGTTTAAGACAAGCCCTCAGTAATATCTAGTTGTGCTGAGATTTTCCTACCTATGTCATCAAAACAAAGTTTGCAAATATTTCCCTAGTGGATTTTATTTGGGCATTTACCATCTCAAGGGTAGAAATCTTCCTGCTTATAAATATTACTAATGGTCCTAAATAATAATGTTTACATTTCACTTTTCCGTATTTTGAGCAAAGATGAACTGCCAGTTTCCACAAACCTCCTGAAACAAATATAACTACTACCCAACTAAAAAAATACATTATCAATATCTTTTAAGCCATCTGAATAATATTTCCTATTTTTTTCCTTTTTTTTTTCCTTTTTTTAATATACTTTAAGTTCTAGGGTACTTGTGCACAATGTGCAGGTTTGTTACATATCTATACATGTGCCATGTTGGTGTGCTGCACCCATTAACTCATCATTTACATTAGGTTTATCTCCTAATGCTATCCCAACACCAGCCCCCCACCCCACAACAGGCCCCGGTGTGTGATGTTCCCCACCCTGTGTCCAAGTGTTCTCATTGTTCAATTCCCACCTATGAGTGAGAACATGTGGTGTCTGTTTTACTGTATTTGCGATCGTTTGCTCAGAATGATGGTTTCCACCTTCATCCGTGTCCCTACAAAGGACATGAACTCATCCATTTTTATGGCTGCATAGTATCCCATGGTGTACATGTGCCACATTTTCTTAATCCAGTCTATCATTGATGGACATTTGGGTTGGTTCCAAGTCTTTGCTATTGTGAATAGTGCCGCAATAAACATGTGTGCATGTGTCTTTAAAGCATCATGATTCATAATCCTTTGGATATATACCCAATAATGGGATGGCTGGGTCAAATGGTATTTCTAGTTCTAGATCCTTGAGGAATCGCCACACTGTCTTCCACAATGGTTGAACTAGTTTACAGTCCCACCAACAGTGTAAAAGTATTCCTATTTCTCCACATCCTCTCTAGCACCTGCAGTTTCCTGACTTTTTAATGATCACCATTGTAACTGTGAGATGGTATCTGATTGTGGTTTTAATTTGCATTTCTCTGATGGCCAGTGATGATGAGCATTTTTTCATGTGTCTGTTGGCTGCATAAATGTCTTCTTTTGAGAAGTGTCTGTTAATATCCTTCACCCACTTTTTGATGGGGTTGATTTTTTCTTGTAAATATGTTTAAGTTCTTTGTAGATTCTGGATATTAGCCCTTTGTCAGATGGGTAGATTGCAAAATTTTTCTCCCATTCTGTAGGTTGCCTGTTCACTCTGATGGCAGTTTCTTTTGCTGTGCAGAAGCTCTTTAGTTTAATTAGATCCCGTTTGTCAATTTTGGCTTTGGTTGCCATTGCTTTTGGTGTTTTAGTCATGAAGTCCTTGCCCATGCCTAAGTCCTGAATGGTATTGCCTACGTTTTCTTCTAGGGTTTTTATGGTTTTACGTCTAACATTTGAGTCTTTAATCCACCTTGAATTAATTTTTGTATAAGGTGTAAGGAAGGGATCCAGTTTCAGCTTTCTACATATGGCTAGCCAGTTTTCCCAGCACCATTTATTAAATAGGGAATCCTTTCCCCATTTCTTGTTTTTATCAGGTTTGTCAAAGATCAGATGGTTGTAGATGTGTGGTATTATTTCTGAGGGCTCTGTTGTATTCCATTGGTCTACATCTCTGTTTTGGTACCAGTACCATGCTGTTTTGGTTATTGTAGCTTTGTAGTATAGTTTGAAGTCAGGTAACGTGATGCCTCCAGCTTTGTTCTTTTGGCTTACTATTGTCTTGGCAATGCAGGCTCTTTTTTGGTTCCATATGAACTTTAAAGTTCTTTTTTCCAATTCTGTGAAGAAAGTCATTGGTGGCTTGATGGGGATGGCATTGAATCTATAAATTATCTTGGGCAGTATGGCCATTTTCACAATGTTGATTCTTCCTATCCATAAGCATGGAATGTTCTTCCATTTGTTTGTATCCTCTTTTAGTTCATTGAGCAGTGGTTTGTAGTTCTCCTTGAAGAGGTCCTTCACGTCCCTTGTAAGTTGGATTCCTAGGTATTTTGTTCTCTTTGAAGCAATTGTGAATGGGAGTTCACTCATGATTCGGCTCTCTGTTTGTCTGTTATTGGTGTATAGGAATGCCTGTGATTTTTGCACATTGATTTTGTATCCTGAGACTTTGCTGAAGTTGCTTATCAGCTTAAGGAGATTTTGGGCTGAGACGATGGGGTTTTCTAAATACACAATCATGTCATCTGCAAACAGGGACAATCTGACTTCCTCTTTTCTTAATTGAATCCCCTTTCTTTATTTCTCCTGCCTGGTTGCCCTGGCCAGAACTTCCAACACTATGTTGAAGAGGAGTGGTGAGAGAGGGCATCCCTGTCTTGTGACAGTTTTCAAAGGGAATGCTACCAGTTTTTGTGCATTCAGTATGATATTGGCTGTGGGTTTGTCATAAATAGCTCTTATTATCTTGAGATACGTCCCATCAACACCTAGTTTATTGAGAGTTTTTAGCATGAAGGGCTATAGAATTTTGTTGAAGGTCTTTACTGCATCTACTGAGATAATCATGTGGTTTTTGTCTTTGGTTCTGTTTACACAACGGATTACGTTTATTGATTTGCGTAAGTTGAACCAGCCTTGCATCCTACGGATGAAGACAACTTGATCGTGGTGTATAAACTTTTTGATGTGCTGCTGCATTTGCTTTGCCAGTATTTTATTGAGGATTTCTGCATCGATGTTCATCAGGGATATTAGTCTAAAATTCTCTTTTTTGGTTGTGTCTCTGCCGAGCTTTGGTATCAGGATGACGCTGGCCTCATAAAATGAGTTAGGGAGGATTCCCTCTTTTTCTATTGATTGGAATAATTTCAGAAGGAATGGAACCAGCTCCTCCTTGTACCTCTGGTAGAATTCGGTTGTGAATCCATCTGGTCCTGGACTTTTTTGGTTGGTAGGCTATTAATTATTGCCTCAATTTCAGAGCCTGTTATTGGTCTATTCAGGGATTCAACTTCTTCCTGGTTTAGTCTTGGGAGGGTGCATGTGTCAAGGAATTTATCCATTTCTTCTAGATTTTCTAGTTTTTTTTCATAGAGTTGTTTATAGTATTCTCTGATGGTAGTTTGCATTTCTGTGGGATTGGTGGTGATATCCCCTTTATCATTTTTTATTGCATCTATTTGATTCTTCTCTCTTTTCTTCTTTATTAGTCCTGCTATCAATTTTGCTGATCTTTTCAAAAATCACCTCCTGGATTCATTGATTTTTTTGAAGGTTTTTTTGTGTCTCTATCTCCTTCAGTTCTGCTCTGATCTTAGTTATTTCTTGCCTTCTGCTAGCTTTTGAATGTGTTTGCTCTTGCTTATCTAGTTCTTTTAATTGTGATGTTAGGGTGTCAATTTTAGATCTTTCCTGCTTTCTCTTGTGGGCATTTAGTGCTATAAATTTCCCTCTACACACAGCTTTAAAAGTGTCCCAGAGGTTCTGGTATGTTGTGTCTTCGTTCTCATTGGTTTCAAAGAACATCTTTATTTCTGCCTTCATTTCGTTATATACCCAGTAGTCATTCAGGAGCAGGTTGTTCAGTTTCCATGTAGTTGAGTGGTTTCGAGTGAGCTTCTTAATCCTGAGTTCTAGTTTGATTGCACTGTGGTCTGAGAGACAGTTTGTTATAATTTCTGTTCTTTTACATTTGCTGAGGAGCGCTTTACTTCCAACTATGTGGTCAATTTTGGAATAAGTGTGATGTGGTGCTGAGAAGAATGTATATTCTGCTGACCTGGGGTGGAGGGTTCTGTAGATGTCTATTAGATCTGCTTGGTGCAGAGCTGAGTTCAATTCCTGGATATTCTTGTTAACTTTCTGTCTCATTGATCTGTCTAATGTTGATAGTGGGGTGTTAAAGTCTCCCATTATTATTGTTTGGGCGTCTAAGTCTCTTTGTAGGTTTCTAAGGATCTGCTTTATGAATCTAGGTGCTCCTGTATTGGGTGCACATATATTTAGGATAGTTAGCTCTTCTTGTTGAATTGATCCCTTTACCATTATGTAATGGCCTTCTTTGTCTCTTTTGATCTTTGTTGGTTTAAAGTCTGTTTTATCAGAGACTAGGATTGCAACCCCTGCCTTTTTTTTTGCTTTCCATTTGCCTTCTAAATATCCCTCCGTCCCTTTATTTTGAGCCTATGTGTGTCTCTGCACATGAGATGGGTTTCCTGAATACAGCACACTGATGGGTCTTGACTCTTTATCCAATTTGCCAGTCTGTGTCTTTTAATTGGAGCATTTAGCCCATTTACATTTAAGGTTAATATTGTTATGTGTGAATTTGATCCTGTCTTCATGATGTTAGCTGGTTACTTTCCTCATTAGTTGATGCAGTTTCTTCCTAGCATCGATTGTCTTTACAATTTGGCATGTTTTTGCAGTGTCCAGTATTGGTTGTTCCTTTCCACGTTTAGTGCTTCCTTCAGAAGCTCTTGTAAGGTAGGCCTGGTGGTAACAAAATCTCTCAGCATTTGCTTGTCTGTAAGGGATTTTATTTCTCCTACACTTATGAAGCTTAGTTTGGCTGGATATGAAATTCTGGGTTGAAAATTCTTTTCTTTAAGAATGTTGAATATTGGACCCCACTCTCTTCTGGCTGGTAGAGTTTCTGCCCAGAGATCCGCTGTTAGTCTGATGGACTTCCCTTTGTGGGTAACTCGACCTTTCTCTCTGGCTACCCTTAACATCTTTTCCTTCATTTCAACTTTGGTGAATCTGACAATTATGTGTCTTGGAGTTGCTCTTCTCGAGGAGTATCTTTGTGGTGTTCTCTGTATTTCCTGAATTTGAATGTTGGCCTGCCTTGCTAGGTTGGGGAAGTTCTCCTGGGTAATATCCTTTAGAGTGTTTTCCAACTTGGTTCCAGTCTTCTCGTCACTTTCAGGTACACCAATCAGATGCAGATTTGGTCTTTTCACATAGTCCCATATTTCTTGGAGGCTTTGTTTGTTTCTTTTTGCTCTTTTTTCTCTAAACTTCTCTTCTTGCTTCATTTCATTCATTTGAGCTTCAATCACTGATACCCTTTCTTCCAGTTGATCAAATCAGCTATTGAAGGTTGTGCATGCATCATGTAGTTCTCATGCCATGGTTTTCAGCTTCATCAGGTCATTTAAGGTCTTCTCTACGCTGTTTATTCTGGTTAGCCATTCGTCTAATCTTTTTTCAAGGTTTTTAGCTTCTTTGCGATGGGTTTGAAGATCCCCCTTTAGCTCGGAGAAGTTTGTTATTACCGATTGTCTGAAGCCTTCTTGTCTCAACTCGTCAAAGTCATTCTCCATCCAGCTTTGTTCCGTTGCTGGTGAGGAGCTGCATTCCTCTGGAGGAGAAGAGGCACTCTGATTTTTAGAATTTTCAGCTTTCTGCTCTGGTTTCTCGCCATCTTTGTGTTTTTATCTACCTTTGGTCTTTGATGATGTTGACGTACAGACGGGGTTTTGGTGTGGATGTCCTTTCTGTTTGTTAGTTTTCCTTCTAACAGTCAGGACCCTCAGTTGCAAGTCTGTTGGAGTTTGCTGGAGGTCCACTCCAGACCCTGTTTGCCTGGGTATCAACAGCAGAGGCAGCAGAAAAGCAAATATTGCAGAACGGCAAATGTTGCTGCCTTATCCTTCCTCTGGAAGCTTTGTCTCAGAGGGGCACCCGGCTGAATGAGGTGTCAGTCAGCCCCTACTGGGAGGTGTCTCCCAGTTAGGCTACTCAGTGGTCAGGGACCCACTTGAGGAGGCAGTCTGTCATCCATTCTCAGATCTCAAACTCTGTGCTGGGAGAACCACTACTCTCTTCAAAGCTGTCAGACAGGGAAGTTTAAGTCTGCAGAAGTTTCTGATGCCTTTTGTTCAACTGTGCCCTGCCCCTAGAGGTGGAGTCTACAGAGGCAGGCAGGCCTCTTTGAGCTGCAGTGGGCTCCACCCAGTTCGAGCTTCCGGGCCACTTTGTTTACCTACTCAAGCCTCAGCAATGGCGGACGCCCCTCCCCCAGCCTTGCTGTGGCCTTGCAGTTCGATCTCAGACTGCTGTGCTAGCAGTGAGCAAGGCTCCGTGGCCGTGGGACCCTCCAAGCCAGGCGCGGGATTAATCTGGTGTGCCGTTCGCTAAGACCATTGGAAAAGCGCAGTATTAGGGTGGGAGTGTCCCGATTTTCCAGGTACCGTCTGTCACAGCTTCCCTTGGCTAGGAAAGGAAATTCCCCAACCCCTTGTGCTTCCCGGGTGAGGCAATGCCCCGCCCTGCTTCGGCTCACACTCCGTGGGCTGCACCCACTGTCCAACAAGCCCCAGTGAGATGAACCTGGTACCTCTGTTGGAAATGCAGAAATCACCCGTCTTCTGCATTGCTCACACTGGGAGCTACAGACTGGAGCTGTTCCTATTTGGCCATCTTGGAACCTCCTTTCACCTTCCTTTTTCTCCTAAGGTAACCACTATCCGGAATTTTGCTTTATTTATTTATTTACTTATTTATTTTTGGAGACAGAGTCTCACTCTGTCACTCATGCTGGAGTGCAGTGGTGTGATCTCAGCTCACTGCAACCTCTGCCTCCCCAGTTCAAGCAATTCTCTCACCTCAGCCTCCCAAGCAGCTGGGATTACAGGCCACACCACCATACCCAGCTAATTTTTCTATTTTTAGTAGAGATGGGGTTTCACCATGTTGGCCAGGCTGTTCTGGAACTCCTGACCTCAAGTGATCTGCCTGCCTCGGCCTCCCAAAGTACTGGGATTACAGGTGTGAGCCACCACACCTGGCTGCCTTTATTATTATCTTGTTTTCTTGAGAAAAACTTCTTCCTGGCTGGGCGCGGTGGCTCACACCTGTGATCCCAGCACTCTGGGAGGCCAAGGCAGGCGGATCACTTGAGGTCAGGAGTTTGAGACCAGTCCGGCCAACATGGTGAAACCCCATCTCTACCAAAAAACACAAAAATTAACCAAGCCTGGTGGCACCTGCCTGTAGTCTCAGCTACTCGGGAGGCTGAGTCATGAGAATGGCTTGAACCCAGCAGGCAGAGGTTGCAGTGTGCCAAGATGTTGCCACTACACTCCAGCCTGGGCAACAGAGTGAGACTCTGTCTCCAAAAAAACTATTTCTCCCATGAATGGGTAAAATAGCCATAAAATTTGTACTTGGGCCAGGCATGGTGCCTCACGCCTGTAATCCCAGCACTTTGGGAGGCCAAGGTCGGTGGATCACTTGAGCTCAAGAGTTCAAGACCAGCCTGGGCAACATGACGAAACCCCATGTCTACAAAAAACATACAGAAAAATCAATCAGGCATGGTGGCATGCCCCTGTAGTCCCAGCTACTCAGGAGTCTGAGGTGGGAGAAACGCTTGAGCCTGGGAGGTCAAGGTTACAGTGAGCCGAGATCTCACCACTGCACTCTAGCCTAGGTGGCAGGGTAAGACACTATCTCAAAAAAAAAAAAAGGCAGAGTATTTAGAGGACCTGACGCACAACGAAGCACACTATTATTGTCAGTGCTTCAATGGTGACAACAACATCATTTCAAAAATACCACCAACTTCAAAATTATGGAGAGAGAAGGGCTTGAGCTGCCGCTAGACAAGTCACTATTACAGAAAGCACAGGAGACAGGAATGGTGTATTAAAGTGTTTACGGTGTTGTCCTCATCCTTCCTACATCAGATTTACCTGAGATGCTTGTTTAAAATACAGGTTTTTAGACTCTGTCTCAGACTACTGAATCAGACTTTCTAGAAGTAGGATTCTAGAATCTACATTTTACAGAGTATCTTGGGTGATTCTTACATTGATTAAAGTTTGAGAAGCACGAGTATAGTGGAAAAGGAGCCTTGCCCACCACCTGCCCCATCTAGGTGGTGGTATTCTTAGAAAACCACTTTAACTCAGTGCAGAAGTTTTAGTGTTGTTAAAAAGATGATTGAATTATACTAAACCTTACTAAGCTTAGTGTGTTGTTCTTTTTAACATCATTACTCTGGTTATCACAACCTACACAGATGCTTGAATTGGCAGTGTGTACTCAGAAAAATCATGTCTCTCTACTGTTTCCCAAAAGAAGTTGCCACATGACTCTACACTATGCAATCTACTCACATGTTTATAAATGCTTATAAATGCCAGTGCCACAGTGTAGGTGCATGCACATTTTGTCAAACAGCGGTTTAGTATTTGAAAATATCAATCAATTGCTTACCCATTCTCAGTTTCTTAAATAACTTTTCTTTAAAAGTTTTTGTTAAAACTTAAATTTAAAAAAAAGATGAAGTGTAGAAGCCACACCAAAACTGAATTCTGATAAACTATGTTTCATACAACATTCCCTTCATATAACAAGTTATGCATACATTCAACTCAACTAACAGAAATGAACCAGCCAGTTAGTGAATTGGGGCATTCAAGCCTTAAAAAGCCTTAAACATTTTGGTGCTGCATTTTTTAAAGCACCTCTAAAAACACTTATAAAAATGCTCTGTCACTTATTATAGCACTTACTACACAGTTTTATAATTGCCTGTTTGTGTGTCTCTCTTCCCCACTGTACTATACATGGCATGAGTGCAGGGATTATGACTATCATGGTCAGTGTTATAACCCAATACATAGCAAACTGCCTGGGACACAGTAGATTGTTCAATTAATACTTGTTAAAAGGATGAATGGATCGACTTTATACAAATACATTTCTTTTGCACTGCTCAGATATTTTAAACACATTAATTCATAATTGCCTCATCATCCGTACAAGAGAAGGTACACCAATAAGAAAATACAAGCTTAAAGAGATCAAGTGGCATGTGCAACTTACTCAGCTACTTGGTGGCAGAACCAGAATCTGAATCTAAAGCCACAACACCAAAGGGCTGAATCTATCCATTAGAGACCTTGCAGATTTCTTCAAGATGTTAACATCAAAAAAGGAAGAGAATCTGTATCACAGTTTTACAAAGACTTGAATTGTTTTCAAATTTCATCAAGAGTAAACTGTCAGCAACAGCAGATAATTATCAATCAAAATAATGACAATAATATATGTCTTAATGAGTTTCTAACAGAAGTAGTCTGTACACATTATATTGGGGGAAAAAATGAGAAGGAAAGAATTTGTCTATTACTTTCCAAAAGACTAAAGATATCGTAAAGATACTAAAAAATAGTACTGATGGAACTGATGGATGAATATCCAAACAGCAGAAATAGAGCAGGAAGAACTTCCTAGACTTACTATGGCCTGAGTAAACCATCCCCCAAACCAATGCAGGTAATTTGTTCTGTTTCCATGCTCACCAATCCATGTTCTGATGACCAAATTGGTTTTTCAGGTATCCTACCAGGAAGAAGATGCTCTGAATAATGATTACAAGTCCTGTGGTCAATGTAAAAATGTCTATCTCTTTGTAAATTAATATTCCACACAACAGATCAATCTCCTGTATATCTGTTACTCTGAATCTATTTACCAGAACATTAACACTGATGGATGACAGAAAAAAATCAAATATTTAAGTCTGCAAAGCAAAGGACGAGACCATGGATTCCTGATGACTCAGCCAAACTCTTATTTTTTCAGCCACATTTCACAGAAATATCAGAACCTGGTATTAACAGCTATGATTTAATTTTAGCAGTGTTTTAAAGTTAGATCTTCTCCATTCATCAAATACACCAAAGAGGAAATTTGGTTTATGATACCAAAGGCATGTAAATAAGTATACAAAACTATATAGGCCAGTAAGAAGCATTTTTAATATAAGCTAGAATAAAATCAATGCTACTCTCTAATTCTCTACCATCAATTCTTAATTCTTCTTCAAGCTTACCCACTGGCAAACTGCTTTTCCAAAACTATTCTAGTTAGTGCATCAAAACAAAAACCCTGATTTACTTAGCACATTTCATTTTGAGAATGTGACAGATAAAACAGGCAAAAGATGACAGACTTTATGCCTTTATGCTTAGGCTACTGAAAAACACAGTTATGCCTATTCTGTTATCTTCTGAGTAAATGTATCAATCACTGCGCATTTAATTATATTTTGTCTTACTCTACTATTTGCCTTATAATGTTATTCAACTTCTTTCTTGTCTATTTCTGATCCCTCCCACATAACTGAAAAAGCAATAGAAGGGACAATGTGCTATACTTAACATATCCCTTCTATCTCGCTATCAAAGTAATGTCCAAATGGTCATCCTAGACCTCCCCTTTCATCTCATTCCCTAGATCCAAACAAATCACTATCAATATATGCATCCACCTTTTTCATATCCTTGTTTTCACCAGCCTAGACTAAGCATGTTTCTCTCTATCCTTGGATTTCTGCAATAGTTTCCTAACTGGTCTTCCTAAATTATGAACTCCCAAATCAGCTCTCCACATTGCAAAGTTTTTAAAACACATCTGAACTTCTGGTTTTAGGCTCACAGAGGAAGATGCTTCTGTCCTCTTCTACTCTTCTTTTTCATCACTTAAAAACAAGAACAGCTGGGCATGGTGGCTCATGCCTGTAATCCTAGCACTTTGGAAGGCTGAGGCGGACAGATCACCTGAGGTCAGGAGTTTGAGACCAGCTTGATCAACATGGAGAAATCCTGTCTCTACTGAAAATACAAAATCAGCTGGCCACGGTGGTACATGCCTGTAATCCCGGCTACTTGGGAGGCTGAGGCACGAGAATCGCTTGAACCTGGGAGGCGGAGGTTGCAGTGAGCCAAGATCACGCCATTGCACTCCAGCCTGGGCAACAAGAGCGAAACTCCATCTCAAAAAAAAAAAAAAAAAGAACAACTTACTGAAAAACAAACTCCATCTTTCATTCAATAGAAGATATCTATATCCCTGAACCATGTTAGGATGCAGTTAAAAATAGTCAACCACTTAGACGAGTAGAAGATAAAACCTAACTGTTTACAGAGATGATGTCTGGTAAATAAGCTGATTTGCCCTGAAGAAAGGCTCAGGAATGGTATGTACCAGGTACCTCAGGAGGCAGAGGTAAGGCAGGGGGCTGAAAATAGGAGATTTTTTTTTTTTAATCCACAAGGAACCTCCCAGTTCCCAAATTCCATCTTCACACAGTGAAGCAACTAACCTTCCTCTTAACCTTCTTACGAGAAAAAAGGTATGTATTCTAGAGATGTTGAAATAAATATTTCAGGCTCATGAAAATTAGTCCCATAGGAGGATAAGAGTGAACTGTTGGACTGAAAATAAGGCTAAGTCAGCATTCTGAAAGGTGAGATCCACAGTCCCTATTCCCATCCAACTCTAGAACACTAGTGGACAAGCAGGAACCTTTAAAAATCCTTTTTTTTTCCCCTAAAGCTGAAAATAACTTCATACACTGACACTTGGATGTTCCCAAAGAAAAAAGCGAATCAAACAATAACCTTAAGAGATAATACAGCCCTCTGTTTGATAATTCCAGCCCATGTCCTCTGAGCTTCTAAGTAATTTTTCAGTACATACTCTTAAATGTGAATAGATAATAAAAGCACCAGACATTTGAGGAAAGCCTAGCACATGAAAGACAGACAAAAACAAACAAAAGGGGGTCGTAGGAGGAAGGGTAGAATGCAGGACAGGCACCATGCTAATTCTTATACTTACTATTTACTGTTGATATTATTCAGTCTTGATAACATTCTGTAACTTATTATTCCCATCTTCTAGATGAGGAAATGACACAGGATTAAGTAAATTATTCAGTCACACAGCTAATTTTGTGGTAAAGACAGGAAAGGAATCCAAGGCTACCTGACCCCAATACCTGGGCTTTTAACCATAAGCATTACCATTCCCTTTAGGACTTATCTTCACATACAAACACCTCGATTTCATAATAATGATGCCTCTTTCTTGTGGCACTACCCTCCTCCTAATGGACAAGTTGAAAGTGCTTTCTCAGAGTTCTAGAGCCCCACTTCCTCAGGAGCCTCAATGTAAAATGAACCTCTCTAAACGTAGAAACAAAGATCTTCAAACTGTTCACAGCATAATAATTTCCCATATGACATACTCCCTGACAGGTTGCAAAGGTCTTGACAAATGAAAGGAGAGGAGCACTAACAAATCATAGATTGGAAAGAGAATGGAAGCCTTCATATTACTTCTCCTAGAAGACTTAGGGAAACATAGAAATGAAGTTTTAATAATCAAATGCTGCTGAGAATAGTAATTATTAGCAAAGGACAGAATTAATGTCAATAAGTAAGTAAAGACAGTATCTATCCTATCCATTCATGGATTAGAAGCAAAAGACAGAAATAAAAAGCAGATAGATCAAAGGAAATTAAAGATAAGGAGAAATGAACCAAGCTGTAGTTTTAATTTTTAATTAGCCAAGTCCTAGGTAACTGGCAATGAGAGAAAGTTTCTGCCAGATGAATCGTGATAACTACAATGTCCCGAATCTATCACCCTAAGAGAATCAGCTATCAAAAAAGACAAGGAAAGGAGGAAGAAAGAACAGTGAAAGATGATGGCTTATGCTTGGGTAAACAGCAAAACTTAAAATCCAAACTATTTTTAAAAAGTATTCTCATCAATGCATTCAAAAGGTTTTGGTTCCAGATGGGCTAGAGTAGCTTGCAGAAGACTAACTCTTGCTGAGAACAAATTGAAAAGCTGAAAGATACACTGCAATCATCTATTTGCAGGCTCAGAAAAGCTTCTTCACAGAGGCAACAAGAACAAGATGGTATAAGATCCTGAAATCGAGAGAACTTAAAGAGGAAGCTGACTTCTGCTAGGGACTTTTTAATTCCGAGCAAGAACTTGAAAATACAGGCTTTGCATCAACAGAACCAACAAATAAAAATAGAAACCAGCAGAGATTTTTGCAGCAATCAGAGGGCCTCAAACAT